>NT_113796.3:0-201709 GCF_000001405.40 Homo sapiens | reverse complement strand
GAATTCTCTAATTAAAATTTGAATCAGAAATATGGCTATTTTTATGTACAACAATCTCTAAGGCTTCTTGGAAAGGAACTAGCTGCCTGATTTTTTTTTTTTTCATTTGAATCCACTAATACATGGAGAGGATGATTCTCCCATACCAATCACAAGAATGATATCTGTAGAATCAAAAGTTGAAATCCTATTATCCTAGAACTTTCTTCAGAAAACTTGAACATGCATTGAAATGTCATGCTGGTCATATATTTTATAGCAATGAGGAATTTACTTATTATATACTTTAGATTTTTAGCCCTTTCCCTGCCCACGAGAAATGTTTCTTTTGAATCCAATTTTGTCCTCAGAGATTTAGAATGTTAAGGAATGTATAGGGGTTTCTTTTTTCTTCTTCTTTTTTTTTTTGTCAAGCTATTGTATATTTTTACTTTACCTGTTTGGTTATGTAGTTACTATTTGTTTGTATTCTCATACCAGAAAAAAAATTATAGTGAATTTTACATGTACGGAGTCTTCATTAATCTGTATAAACTGACAAGTTTAGAATATCAAAGTCAACACTGTAAAAAATAAAGTGATATTTTATCTGGTCTATCTCCTTGCAAATAAAAGAACAATAAATTCTGTACTATTATGAAATATATGAGCTTGAAAATTTTTCAAGTGCCTTGTATAGAATGGCCTTCGAATTCAAGGTATAAACTACAACAAAACACTTTCGAGATCTAGTTTGATTGCAGAGTACATTCCTACACATTTATATATTCTCTGCAATTTCTGATTCAAGATATTTCACAATTCTAAAGGAAAACCAAAATAGAATAATAATTACAAAACAAAATAAAAAGTAATTGAGGAAGATATTTGAGCAACTTATTCTTGACAACTAGCTTTTTTTTTTTAATTGATCATTCTTGGGTGTTTCTCGCAGAGGGGGATTTGGCAGGGTCATAGGACAATAGTGGAGGGAAGGTCAGCAGATAAACAAGTGAACAAAGGTCTCTGGTTTTCCTAGGCAGAGGACCCTGCGGCCTTCCACAGTGTTTGTGTCCCTGGGTACTTGAGATTAGGGAGTGGTGATGACTCTTAACGAGCATACTGCCTTCAAGCATCTGTTTAACAAAGCACATCTTGCACCACCCTTAATCAATTTAACCCTGAGTGGACACAGCACATGTTTCAGAGAGCACAGGGTTGGGGGTAAGGTCATAGATCAACAGGATCACAAGGCAGAAGAATTTTTCTTAGTACAGAACAAAATGAAAAGTCTCCCATGTCTACTTCTTTCTACACAGACACAGCGACCATCCGATTTCTCAATCTTTTCCCCACCTTTCCCCCTTTTCTATTCCACAAAACCGCCATTGTCATGATGGCCTGTTCTCAATGAGCTGTTGGGTACACCTCCCAGACGGGGTGGTGGCTGGGCAGAGGGGCTCCTCACTTCCCAGTAGGGGCGGCCGGGCAGAGGCACCCCTCACCTAACGGACGGGGCAGCTGGCCGGGCGGGCGCTGACCCCCCACCTCCCTCCCAGACGGGGCGGCCGGCCGGGCGTGGGCTGACCCCCACCTCCCTCCCGGACGGGGTGGCTGCCGAGCGGAGACGCTCCTCACTTCTCAGATGGGGCGGCCGGGCAGAGACGCTCCTCACCTCCCAGACAGGGTCGCGGCCGGGCAGAGGTGCTCCCCACATCTCGGACGATGGGCGGCCAGGCAGAGACGCTCCTCACTTCCTAGATGGGATGGCGGCCGGGCAGAGATGCTCCTCACTTTCCAGACTGGGCAGCCAGGCAGAGGGGCTCCTCACATCCCAGACGATGGGCGGCCAGGCAGATGCTCCTCACTTCCCAGACGGGGTGGCAGCCGGGCAGAGGCTGCAATCTCGGCACGTTGGGAGGCCAAGGCAGGCAGCTGGAAGGTGGAGGTTGTAGCGAGCAGAGATCACACCACTGCACTCCAGCCTGGGCACCATTGAGCACTGAGTGAACGAGACTCTGTCTGCAATCCCGGCACCTCGGGAGGCCGAGGCTGGCGGATCACTCGCAGTTAGGAGCTGGGGACCAGCCCGGCCAACACAGCGAAACCCCGTCTCCACCAAAAAAATACGAAAACCAGTCAGGTGTGGCGGCGCACGCCCGCAATTGCAGGCACTCGGCAGGCTGAGGCAGGAGAATCAGGCAGGGAGGTTGCAGTGAGTCAAAATGGCAGCAGTACAGTCCAGCTTCGGCTGGGCATCAGAGGGAGACCGTGGAAAGAGAGGGAGAGGGAGACCGTGGAAAGAGAGAGAGAGGGGAACGTGGGGAGAGGGAGAGGGCATTATCTTCTTTTCAAAGGCCTATTTCCTTTGCCTCCGTAACTGTTGTGGGTATTCATGGCTAGGCTTCTAAACCTCTTAAAACTCCCCAACTCTGGTGCTAACGTTGACAACTAGCTTTTTAACAAACAGAAAAGTGCACTAAAAATACTGCCTAGTTGTTTAAAGTAGGCTGAGATCTGACTGTATCCCCTAAGTGAGTGTCATAAAGAAAAAATTACCTTTGAGGGAGCACAGTGGTTAAATTTAAAGATTTATTGTTTAACTTCAGGAAGACTTTCAGTAACTTTTTAAAATTGTATACAGTTAATGGAAGACATGCTATGCTTCTTGTAAGAATTTGTTCTAAATCACTGTGTATAATTAATGGCTTGTCTACATATTTTTTCAATAAAACTGTTCATGCAGAATTTTAGGTGGGCACTTTCAGTACCAGAATGAATGTATCTTTGTGAAGATACCATTTATGTCCCATAACATCCAAAGCATAATGAGGAGATTTTGATACACTGCAGATTTAGAACTGAGTTGGAAAACAAAACTTCAAGATACTGTCTTGTCAGCACAAAGCAAATAAATTCATCACTGTAAGTTGAGATTTAAATTCACAAACTTATAAGCAATAAAATCAAAGTAATTTTATTATAAGTTTTTTGACACCAGATTATATGTGGTAAATAATTTACTTTCTAATCAAGCAATTGACACATATAAACCTGAAATAGAGTTTTGCCTTTTAATTAACTAATTGTTAAGCAAAGAATGGTTGAAGCAGCAGTTGAGAATTATCTTTTTCTCTTTTTGCTGTTCTTACAAGGAGAGTTTCTAGAATTGTTTTCAAAACAATAGAACAGAAAATTTCACTTACTCATTTAATTTAACTTTTGTTAAAGTACTTTGCCAAAATTAGCAAACTACGAAAGGAAAGTTTACCTTTTCAATATATATGTAAGTGGCAAGTAAAAGTTATTCTTAAATCACGTGATCTCATAGAAATAACATGGGATAAAAAGAGTTCTGAAGGTGTTCAGGAAATGCCAGTCCTAAATGGATTGCTTTGGTGTACTGATTACATCGAACTGAAAATATTTGAAAAACAACAAATGCGAGACATGCTTTCTCTGCACTCCCTTTACGTTCCTCAAGAGAGATCCTCCAAAAGGAACTTTCAATACCAGAATGAATGTATCTTTGTAAAGATACCATTTATCTACCATAACATCCAAAGCATGATGAGGAGATTTTTATACACTGCAGATTTAGAACGGAATTGGAAATCAAAACTTCAAGATACTGTCTTGTCAGCACAAAGACATTCATCTCCTTCCTAGGAGTTTCATCAGCCAGGGAAAATCGACTCCTCATATCACAGGAGACAAGACTAAGGGTCCATACCACACTAAGACAGACTGCCACAAACTATCATCTATTCTCCTAAGGGTCTGGTCATCTTTCCCAAAAGTCATTTGCTCTCCCCTAAGTTTCCTACATTCTTCCTCCTGCCTTCCCTATAAGCTCCTAAATCTCACTGGGTTTTTTTCTTGGTGGTGTTTTGTTTGTTTTGTTTTGTTTTTGATTCCACTTTTCTTTCCTGTGATTCCCCCATGCGTGTAATAAATGTGTACACATTTTCTTCTTTTGACATGCCTGTTATCCATTTATTCAATAGACTCAGTTATCACACCTTCAGAGGGTAGAGGGAAAGTTCTCCAACTCCAACAGTTCCAAAAGAAAATAGCTAGTAACTGCAAATGCAAAAGTCATATAAACTTTGAGACAAAGTTAGCTTCTTATACGATATGTTCAGAAAGAAGAGGTGTGTTGCACACCAAGGGACATTTCCCTGGTCTTAGCTCCTAAGTTTCTCTGAGAAGAAGCAGTTACTACTACAGCAGTTAAACACCTGACTCCCAAATTATAAAAGCCTAAGTTATGATTTTAAATCATTAATTGTCACCTGTGAATCATAAAGTCTGAACTCTTTAAATTGCAAACACACATATAAAAGGGATTCTTATACAAGGATCCATGAGTGGAACTGCAAAGTTTTGTCAAAATCTGTATATATGTTTTCTTTTTAAGGGTCATAGATTTCAATATATGTTAAAAGATATCTGTAGCTAGTAAAGATTAATAACCATTTTCAGTTTTGTGCTGAAATTGGCAAATCATGGCTTTTCTCCCTCCAACACACCCCCTCCCGCCCCAGCACACCCCTGGTTAATCTTTATTTTCAGGAGAGAAAAAGATGTTTCATATTAATAAAGGTAGATTATCCACTTGTTTGTTTTATACTTTTCCACCTCTTAAGCTTAATCGTGTTTTAATAATATATAATTGAATACATTAATATTTAGATGTTAGTAAACTAATAAAAAATGTTCATGATTTCTCTTGAGTAGAGGAATACAAATTTTGCACCCATTGTTGTATAGAATGATTTTTAAAATCTCATTCAATCCCTCAGAAGTTTAATATTTTTTTCAAGAATTTATATATAAAATTTTTACTTAGAAGCAGATAGCTCACAAAAAGTATGGGGGATTTTTTTGGATTATAAATAAACTATTCCACTCACCAAGATGCTGAGACATCCTACTTTCTGGTATTTTGAAATGAAAACAAAACACAAGAATGTGACGAAGAAGCAAGTGAAAATTAAAAGGATACAGACTTTAGAAGTATCATAAGCTAAAAATAAAGTGAAACAAATCTGTAAAGGAACCAAAAGCCCAGGCAGATATAATACAGTAAATTATGAGAAGTTAAAAAAATGAGGGGGTGACAATAAAGTGAAAATCTCTGATAAAGCCAAAACTATTTGAATGGCAGTCAACAAAACAGAAGAAAAAAATGACACTCATAACAAGGCAGAACTATGGAAATGCATCCCCGGGGGTAAGACAATAGAGTTGTGAATTAGTGGAGGCGAATCACCAATACTGGCCAACTAAAGCCCTCTAACATAATTCAAAGGATGGAGAAATTCTGTAGCTGAAGATAAAATGTCTGAAATATATTATGGTATAGTCAAATGAGTGTCATTTCTAATATACACACTTATTTTTCAAGAGTTGATAATATGAAGTAAAAATTTAGTATGCAAAGTTCAAATTTTCCATTTGTTGAGTAATTCATTTTTATTAAATATTTCCCAACAATTAAACTAAAGTGGTACCAGAACAGAGTAGACATTCTGAGCTTTCACTTTACAAAAGCTACACATAAATCTACATAATTTTTAAGGGTATAAACAAAGTCAGAGTCTGTGTGATATTTCATTAAACAATTGGAGAAAATTTTTCTTTAAGAATAGATTATATACATAGTGACCTCTTTGAGATCCTTATTTTTTTCTTTTTTTTGTGTGTGTGTGGACATATGTTTTCATTTTTTTTAATTATTATTATTATACATTAAGTTTTAGGGTACACGTGCAGAACGTGCACGTTTGTTACATATGTATACATGTGCCATGCTGTCGTGCTGCAACCATTAACTCGTCATTTAACATTAGGTATATCTTCTAATGCTATCCCTCCCCACTCCCCCCACCCCACAACAGTCCCCAGTGTGTGATGTTAACCTTCCTGTGTCCATGTGTTCTCATTGTTAAATTCCCACCTATGAGTGAGAACATGTGGTGTTTGGTTTTTTGTCCTTGTGATAGTTTGCTGAGAATGATGGTTTCCAGCTTCATCCATGTCCCTACAAAGGACATAAACTCATCATTTTTTATGGCTGCATAGGATTCCATGGTGTATATGTGCCACATTTTCTTAATCCAGTCTATCATTGTTGGACATTTGGGTTGGTTCCAAGTCTTTGCTATTGTGAATAGTGCCACAATAAACATACGTGTGCATGTGTCTTTAGAGCAGCATGATTTATAATCCTTTGGGTATATACCCAGTAATGGGATGGCTGGATCAAATGGTATTTCTAGTTCTAGATCCCTGAGGAATCGCCACACCGACTTCCACAATGTTTGAACTAGTTTACAGTCCCATCAACAGTGTAAAAGTGTTCCCATTTCTCCACATCCTCTCCAGCACCTGTTGTTTCCTGACTTTTTAATGATCGCCATTCTAACTGGTGTGAGATGGTATCTCATTGTGGTTTTGATTTGCATTTCTCTGATGGGCAGTGATGATGAGCATTTTTTCATGTGTTTTTTGGCTGCATAAATGTCTTCTTTTGAGAAGTGTCTGTTCATATCCTTCGCCCACTTTTTGATGGGGTTGCTTTTTTCTTGTAAATTTGTTGGAGTTCATTGTAGATTCTGGATATTTGTCCTTTGTCAGATGAGTAGATTGCAAACCTTTCTCCCATTCTGTAGGTTGCCTGTTCACTCTGATGGTGCTTTCTTTTGCTGTGCAGAAGCTCTTTAGTTTAATTAGATCCCATTTGTCAATTTTGGCTTTTGTTGCCATTGCTTTTGGTGTTTTAGACATGAAGTCCCTGCCTATGCCTATGTCCTGAATGGTATTGCCTAGTTTTTTTCCAAGATTTTTATGGTTTTAGGTCTAACATGTAAGTCTTTAATCCATCTTGAATTAATTTTTGTATAAGGTGTAAGGAAGGGATCCAGTTTCAGCTTTCTACATATGGCTAGCCAGTTTTCCCAGCACCATTTATTAAATAGGGAATCCTTTCCCTAGTTCTTGTTTCTGTCAGGTTTGTCAAATATCAGATAGTTGTAGACATGTGGCATTATTTCTGAGGGCTCTGTTCTGTTCCATTGGCCTCTATCTCTCTTTTGGTACCAGTACCATGCTGTTTTGGTCACTGTAACCTTGTAGTATAGTTTGAAGTCAGGCAGCGTAGTACCTCCAGCTTTGTTCTTTTGCCTTAGGATTGACTTGGCAATGCAGGCTCTTTTTTGGTTCCATATGAACTTTAAAGTAGTTTTTTCCAATTCTGTGAAGAAAGTCATTGGTTGCTTGATGGGGATGGCATTGAGTCTATAAATTACCTTGGACAGTATGGCCATTTTCAGAATATTGATTCTTCCTACCCATGAACATGGAAGGTTCTTACATTTGTTTGTATCTTATTTCATTGAGCAGTGGTTTGTAGTTTTCCTTGAAGAGGTCCTTCACATCCCTTTTAAGTTGGATTTCTAGGTGTTTTATTCTCTTTGAAGCAATTGAGATCCTTATTGTGAGAGTCAGTTCAGAATCTGGGGTTTTGTTTTGTTTTGTTTTGTTTTGTTTTGTTTTGTTTTGTTTTGAGATGGAGTCTCTCTCTGTTACCAGGCTGGAGTACAGTGGCACAGTCTCAGCTCATGCAACCTCTGCCTCCCAGGTCCAAGTGATTCTCCTGCCTCAGCCTCCCAAGTAGCTGGGACTACAGGCACGTGCCACCATGCCCAGCTAACTTTCGTATTTTTTTTTAGTAGAGATGGGGTTTCGCCATGTTGGCCAGGATGGTCCCGATCTGTTGACCTTGTGATTTGCCTGTCTCAGCCTCCCAAAGTGCTGAGATCACAGACGTGAGCCACTGTGCCCAGCCCAGAATCTGGGTTTTAACCAGATTTGCCATTATAAAATGAAATGAAACCAAAACCACCAATCAATATCTGTAGCAGTGTTATTGTTGGGAAGCATGCACGTTTGTTTGAGCTTATTTATATATACAGAGCTGTTTAGCTTAATATTTAAACTGAAAATTTTTAGTATTTTTAGAATGTTTTAGATACTTTGATGAATAAATTTTGTTTTAACAAACTACTATTAAAAAAATTATAGGTTATATATTTCTGAACACATTGGCAGATGTAAATGACAGTTATATTCACACAATCAGTTTTTCTTGCACAGAAATGACATTTTGTCAAAAAGTTAAAATCTTTGAAATGTATTTTCTGTCCTCATCTTTCCCCTTTTGAGCATTTTTCTCCCCCTGGGTTGGTTATAAAATGTTCCCTAACTTCAGGCATCTGATTAAATTTTGGGTTTTCTCCCTTCCTACCAATTCATATGGATTGGTAATGATCTGATAGAAGACAATTGCCGAAAATCAATCAAATATATTTTAAATTAAACTTCTCCAAGATAATATTCATATTAATCCTTCTTTAATTGCTGAATGAGGAATAAATGTTCACTGACCCTTAAAATCCTAAAACTTAATCAGCTCACTGGAGTGGATGAATGGATATTTGTCCAGATGAGAATGCTTAAGGTCTACTTCAAGGAGTTCATAATAGTAAAAATGTCCTTTTCTTCCATCAGAAGCTTCATCCTGGATCTTTTCATCCTTATTTTTCTACTAGCTCTCCTTCTCCAAATACACTGACTTGGAACCCCAGTTTCAGTGGTGGACTGCGTGGATTTGATTCTTAGCTATGCTATAATGAGAAAGTAGCTCTAACCCTATTCTCATTTTCTTCACCTGTAATATAGAAATCATCATCAGACAATATACAGATAGGGGCCATTTATTTCACAGATAATAATAGGTGAAAATGGAGAGTATGTGGGTGTAGACGGGAAAGTGAGTTTAAATGGTTTCAGGAGTCTGTGGAAGTTGTCTTTGGATGATTCAGTGTTCTCAGGGAAGCACAACCAAAAAGACATTGAGGATTTCTGGGCAAGTGTTAGGGATTAGAGACAGGATAAGATACAAAACTAGGTAAATTAGAGAATGAATAGATTGGAACATATGTAGTATGATTGATTGATAGGCAGCACTGAGATTCTCATTTTCAAGTGGGATATTTTTCAATTTGATCCATATAGCTAGTTGCTCAAATATATGTGGGGATTTGGTGGAAATTTGGATATAACCAGGGTTATTTTCCTGGTTATATTCAGCAAAGTGAAAGAGAAACCAGGAAGTTGAAGTTTCCTGGGAATGGTTGGCCATGGAATTTAGGCAGGAGAACAGGAAATAGAGTACATCAAGTAGGTAAGGGTCATTGTGAATATGATAAAATAATAGTTTGGAGGTCTCAGAGAGATTGAAAAATTTTATGTCAGCATATGAAAGGGAATGATTAAAGGAGGAGCTCAGAGAATGGGATGAATAAAATTGTGACTACAGAGAAGTTCCTATTATAAGTAATGACGATGCTTCACTCAGTCCGTCTGGAAGTGTGGTCCCTGTGCTAGCAGCATCAGCATCACCTGGGAACTTACTAGAAGTGCATATTCTCAGGTTACAGCCCCAGATCTACCAAATCTGAAATTCCAATAGCAGGTCTCAGCAATCTTTTATTGTAACACAACTGTAGGCAATTTTGAGGCACACTGTAGTTAGCACAACTGGTCTAGTGTATGTCCTATTTGGTCTTCCTCCCCAGTTCACAGTACAGAGCTCCTAAAACTTGAAATTTCCTGATAGAGATGAGAGGACCATCCTTTACTAGTCATAAGTCTCTCTTAGCCATACCTGAGTTTATGCTATTGACATGACATGAGTGGTGGCTGGAGACCCGTATAGCTTCAGGGTGTGTGCTGGACATCAGAAACATGAAGGCATAACTAGATGGTTGAAACTGTCAGCCCTCTCCTCCATCACCTCTGAGGTGCTGGGAGGGTGATAGAATGATATACTTAGAGGTCATATGGCAGCTTTGTGCCCCTTTTCACCATACCTGGCCCTATGTGTCTCTTCTATTTGAGAGTTCCTGATTTGTATCAGACAGTAACTGTAACAAAGTGCTTTCTTGGGTTCTGTGCGCCATCTTAGCAAATTATAGAACCTGAGGAAGGAATCCATGGAGGTCCTAATTTATAGACAGTTGGTCAGGAGTATGGGAGGCCCACAACTCCTCTCTAATGGTGTGGGGGCAGTCTTGTGGGCCTGAGCCCTGAACTTTTGGGATCTATGCTATCTCCAGATAGATAGACTCAGGATTGAATTGAATTGTAGGACACCATTTGGTGTCCTGAGAGTTGAAGAATTGATTGGGGTGAGACTGAATCCACAAATTTGATCTCAGAAGTTTGAGTAGAAATAATTCTGTTGGAAAACATTATTGTTAGATCAAAGGTGTTCATAGAACTGAGAGATCAAAATGGCAAGGAGTCATCTATGATTACACATTGTTGACTTAAATTAGAATTAAGACAAGAGTATGTCAAAGAGAGTTACATTGAGCCAGGGATAAAAATAGTCAATCAATTGATTGATTAGAATATAGTAAATGCTATTTTAAAAAAAATTAATCTTTACTTAATTAATGGAGATACTTAATTATCTCCATTTTGACTTTAAATTTATAATTAAAAAATTGCTATTTTATCTATTTTCCATAAAAGGAAATTGAAAAGCAATAGAAAAATGCTTCGACAGAAAATCTACCCTTCTTATTCCCAAGAGGAAGAATGGCCAACTACCTTAAGCACAAAGTTAGAAAAACTTTCATAATTTTTTAAGTTGCCATATTTTATAGCTTTGAACAAGTCGAATTGTTAACTAGACTGCCCAGGGAATGGAGCCATCTAATATAATTTCCTTACTATTTAGATAAGATATTTGTTGTTGAAAGTCTTAATCATTTTTAATGATCCTGTTTTCAGAGCCTGATATTAATGATTCGGGAAACTCATTAAATGTAGTTAAGCATCTGATTTGAAAATCATGAGGGGGATTTTTGGTCAGATATGCATAGGAAATCTGTCACTAGACATATGTCCCTGCTACCCATGTCACAACCTTTATGTCTACTCTTGAATTGAGGTTTTGCTACGTTTTATTTTTGAGGTTTAAGAATTATTCATTTAGGTATCTGGGTGCAGCACACCAGCATGGCACATGTATACATATGTAACTAATCTGCACAATGTGCACATGTACCCTAAAACTTAAAGTATAATAATAAAAATAAAATAAAATAAAATAAAAAAGAATTATTCATTTAACTGACGGAAAATTGTGTTTCTCTTGTTAGAATAGAGCCCAATTTATCTTTTCTATTTTTCATGGAGACATGAAAGGATGTGAATTTGGAATCAGAGAAACCTGAGTTCCACCATGCTTTCTTCCTCTTGCAATCCATGAAATCCACAGTGGATTAGTGGATATTACAAAACCTCTGGTCCCACCTCATTAAGATGGAAAAAAATAATACTAATTGAAAGAATGAATGTGATAATGAGAAGAAATGGCATCAATAAAGTTTCTGGAACACAGTAAGTTCCAACAAATGCTAGTTCTTTTCTTTCATTATTCAAAATCTAAGTAGAAGCCAGTTGGTAATTCCAAGATAATAGTATGAAGACAAAAAAAAAGTTTGTTAACTGACCTTCAACCATTGAGACCTTATCTTATAGGAAGCAAAATTAACAAATATTTTCTCCCTTCTACAAATGTACACCCTCTGAGAAAGAGAGACAGTGTTCCAATCAAGACGATGACAGTATTCTATGCACACATAGGAAGGGAAGAAGAATAAGAGAGAACCTTTAAAAAGACAATTTTAGATAGGCATCCTATTTTTACCAGCAATAACATTTTTTAGAACTTACGGCATACAAAATAGACCTTAAATGGTCTCAGTGCTGAGAAATTTTTAAAAGCCTGTTTTATTTTCTTCTGTGGTAAATCTAGGAACCAATAAAATAGCTTTGATAATTCACTCATTACATTCTTTCCTAACTAAACTATTTACATTATAAACTTTGTTGATATGCTGTGCTTTTGCATTAATAATTCTCATGTGTCTCGTTTGTGAATACATGAAAACTAGTTGTAAAATAAGGAAAATGTAATTTTGAAACATCTTCAAACACAGTTGCATAATTTAACAAATGTTTATAAATTTTCGTCCTTACTCTAAAACCATAGACATCCTAAAAGTGATTGAAGGTAAAATGATTTTTTAAAGAACTGGATTTCTCACCATGAGTTATTTTATCTCCATACAAACTGTGGTAGTGTTATACAATGGTTAAGAAGAAATTACTTAAAAGTGAGTATAAAGATACAGCTTATTAACACTTCGTTTTGTGGATGAGACCTGAAAAATTAAACTTTTCTTCTAGGGACAAGTTGTAGTTGTGTATATAGAGTGTGAATAGATACTGTCCATATTTTACTGTCATTATTTAAACAGAAACATGTAATTTGCACTTCAAAAACCTACTACAAATTAGCTGTGTCATTTGGAAGTGTCAAAATTATCTCTTTAGTGATCAGATAGGCTTTTTGCTCATTGTAATGAGATGTTCCTATAAACCAAATTTGAAAGACAAAGACAGAGTTTGGAGTCCTTAATTTTTGGTAAAATCAGTAGCTCTATTTAGGGCTATATTTGCAAAATACTATTTCTACTCAAGCATATTTTTATTTACAAGGCACTTCACAAATGTTGACCACAAAGATGCTTCTACCTAGCAGAAATAATTATAGTTACTTATAGTTGTCTAGGAATATCTTAAACATGGGGTATTAAAATTACTTTCAAGAACAAGAAGAAATGTTATACCAGGCATTTTTGCAACTAGTGCTCTATTTCAGTGCAATATTTGTGGCAATTAAAAAACATAAGTGGCTTGTATATACAGCTAAGATATCAAAGGAAAAATATGCAAAGGCATGATTATTTTATAAATGTGCCACATATGTGACTTGAGGTACAAAACCTCTAAGTTTAAAATTGTATTTTTAAAAAAGAAATCAAAACAGACAAGTGGGCAATGAGTTATGGATACTATTATAGGGTACCCTGATAAACTAGTAAGAAGAAGACTTTTGGTACTGAAAATTCCAATTAACCACATGCCTCCATTAAGGCCATGATCACTGCCAATTTTTACTCGCAAAGGCTGGAGCTAGAGTTATGTGGAATTCCATATGTATCTAAACCATAGATTTATCAATTATCACTTAAACACAACTTGGAGGACACTATCCAGAATTTGTATGGCTTGGTCTTATTCTAGAGAAACATACACTGGAATAGGCAGTTGGATTTTAAATTCAGTCTTAAATCTCTTGAAAATAATGCATTTTTTTTCTCAGAGATGAGATATTGTCCAACTCTCTTGACTTATTTTAGATTTGATATTATACAGTTCGAACACCATGGAGATTTACTAATCTGAATGAACACATACCAAATTAGTCTTTGCTCCAGTCTCAAAATCTGAGATTAATTCTGGCTGCTGAAGAAATTTTCCAGGGTTAGGAGTATGCTTCAACGCTGGTGACTGGTACTACTTTCCGGTAAACTATAGGTGACTTGTGCCCTTTCACTGCCTAAACTCACTTTGTAGAACACCATTAAATGAAAATCATCACCAGTAATTTGGGAGGCTAAGGCGGGCAGATCATTTGAGGTCAGGAGTTTGAGACCAGCCTGGCCAACATGATGAAACCCCGTCTCTACTGAAAATACAAAAATTTATCCAGGCATGACGGGGTCCACCTGGAATCCCAGCTACTTGGGAGGCTGAGGCAGGAAAATCTCCTGAACCTAGGATGTGAAGTTTGCAGTGAACAGAGATGTTGCCATTGCACTCCAGCCTGGGCAACAGAGTGAGACTTCATCTCCAAAAAAAGGAAAAAAAGAGAGAGAGAGAGAGAAAGAAAATTATCAGTGTTCAGTGACTCTTTTTTTTCATGCTGATAAACTATTACACAGAAAAAGAAAATTTTCATGCTGATAAACTATTACACAGAAAAAGAAATGTATCCTTTATGGACAATTAAAAGGGCTATACAATCTCTCTCATTGTATGATTCTGTTTTTTCTTTTTCTTTTTTCCTTTTTTTTAAGACAGGATCTCACTCTGTCACCCAGGCTGGAATGTAGTGGCTCTATCTTGGCTCACTGCAACCTCAGCCTCCCAGGTTCAAGCTATTCTCCTGCCTTAGCCTCCTGAGTAGCTAGGACTAAAGGCATTCACCACCACGCCCAGCTAATTTGTGTATTTTTTTAATACATGTGGAGTTTTGCCATGTTGTCCAGGCTGGTCTTGAACTCCTGACCTCAAATGATCCTCCCGCCTTGGCCTCCCTAAGTGTTGGCATTAGAGGCATAAGCCACCAGGCTTGGCCTGATTCTGTTTTTTAACACAATTCCTATTACTTCTGTTTTAATTTTACAAAGCCATAGGTTTTTAATCTGAGAAACTTTTGAGAAAGCACCCAGATAAATTTATAAATAGAAAAATAAATTCAGCTACATAGAATTAAGTTTATGATCTAACTAGTCGGTGGCAACTAAAAAATTTTCAAGTTCCATAAACTAAAGTGAAAGGATCACTTTCCTGAAAATATTACAAAGGCTTGATAATTACCTGGATTGTACTAAAACCTACACAATCTAGTATATTCTATAGCAGCAATTCATAAAGACAGCTTCACTTACCATGTAGAATTTATACGTACACTAAATTTAAGGAATGCGTTAGTTGGTATTGGAGTAGGATAATAACTCACAGCAGAACTGATTTGCATGAATGGCTATTAAACTATCGTCGATGTAGAAATTAAACGTTAAGCTATTCAGCCCCAGATGTGTGAGAGACAGAGAAAATCTTCAAAAGAGTTCAGCTATCAAATCCCTTCCTCAATAGCTCTTTGAGTCTCAAGACAGTTTCAACCACACACAGCCTCGGAGTCTTATGGTCCAAACAACATTTGACTGCACTTCTAAAGTAAGCAAATATTTGAAAAGAAACAATCAAAGATCTATGTCTATAGTTATGGTCAAGGAGGTCCACCTACTGGTGGGTGAGCATGGCAAGGGTAGGGACTAAGCCAAATGATGGGTTTATCAAAACAGAAACAAGAGAAGCCAATGGAAGCAGAGCCCAGTTTATAACAGGAGCCCAGGCACTTGATGTGGGAACCCTATTTGTCTCATTTAGCAGCTAGAGTTTTAACGTCCTATGAGGCAGAGCTAATGTCCTTCATTATTATTTTTTTTGTAATTGACTGCATAGTTTAGAACTATGCCTTGAATTTAATATCTATCTGTTGAATAAATGAATTAATAATGATGAAAATCTGTCCACAGGTTATATGCAGTACTGAAGAGCAACTTCAGCTATTGAGGTATCTATCAGAAGTCTTACTCTCTAAAAAGCCTCTGGTTAATTACTGATATAGGTTGCTGACAATTTCACTCTCACAATGTAGGGGAAGCAGGAATGTTATCTGGCCTCTTGGCTCCTCTTCCTTTGCCTTCCACAGATCTCTCTGCTGGTTCACAGAGGAAAACTTTCGTGGCTCTCAGTTCATTTTGCAATTCTGGTAGAATTTCATTCCATCCTCAATGGTAACTAGCTTGTCCTTCACCCAACGCTTATTTATGGAGGGACAGATAGCAAGAAGAAATCGCACTCTGGATTACAAAGTGGGAAGACGCACCCCCTTGGCCAGAATGCCTGCCTCCTATGTTCATGATGGATATTTCTAATTGATCTTGACACTCTTTTCCACTGAGCCCATGTCCCAAATTGGCCCTGAGTTAGGGAGAGGGCTCTAGAGTGGGAAAGGTGTACCCAAAACTTCCCTAATCTGACTATCAAGCCTAAAAAATTAAACTTTCAATTCAACATCCCTTGTTTCTCCAACTTGGAGTGCCTGATGGTGTGGGAAGCCCCTACTCATACAAATTCATAGTTGAAGATTGTTGGTAATTTTGTCCAACCCCTTCTTTTTTTTGTTATACTTTAAGTTGTAGGGTACATGTGCACAACGTGCAGGTTTGTTTCATATGTATACATGTGACATGTTGGTGTGCTGCACCCATTACCTCGTCATTTACATTAGGTATATATCCTAATGCTTTCCCTCCCCTAGCCCCTCACCCCACAATAGGCCCCAGTGTGTGCTGTTCCTCTTCCTGTGTCCATGTGTTCTCATTGTTTAATTCCCACCTGTGAGTGAGAACATGCGGTGTTTTTTTGTCCTTGTGATAGTTTGCTGAGAATGATGGTTTCCAGCTTCATCCATGTCCCTACAAAGGACATGAACTCATCATTTTTATGGCTGCATAGTATTCCATGGTGTTTATGTGCCACATTTTCTTAATCCAGTCTATCATTGTTGGATATTTGGGTTGGTTCCAAGTCTTTGCTATTGTCAGTAGTGCCTCAATAAACTCCTTCTTTCTTTGCCTAGTTACACCTCAATGCAACCTCCTGGCAGGCCAGCCTTAAGCCCAGCAGTCCCACCATGCATCTAAGCTGCGTTCTCATCAGACCCAACTTCAATTATAAACAACTGAGATGATGCCAGAGGCCAGAATCCCTGAGAACCCAATTTGCTGTCATCACCATGGCTGAAACAAGGCACTTGGCATCTAGAAAAGCTGATCTGTAGGAAATTTCCAATAGAGTTCAATTTTTCTAAGTTTAAAGTGTACAATATCATCAAGGTCAGACACTCGAGATAAAACTAGGCTTGTGTTTAAATATAATAAAAATATTTGAAGAATAGTAAGAGTGGTGACTACTTTTACACAGGAATGTTTTAAATAAATTGTTTTTTTCTGGTGCCTTTTAAATTTTGTGATTTGTCAATGAGATGCTGATATATTTTTAATGAAGTATGCCTTGTAAAATAATAAGTGAATGAAAAATACACAGTAATATTCACATCAACAAAGCTAGAAGAAGACTGTATGTCTCAAGAGGCTCCATCATCTACCCAGTGGCCACTTGACCAAATTAAGATCCAAATACCAAAAAGAAAAGTAATTAAAATTTGTGTTGTATGCCTTATAAGACCAAACCTATAAAATGAGGGGAAACTTCACAATTACTTGTAATTTGCTCTGTGGAATTGTAACAGATGGATTATAAAGATGATTCCATGATAAACATCTAAATGTGGTTACTACCTTCTGTGCTTTCTTGGTTCATATTTTTATTGTTTTTTCTTTATAAACAGATAATTCATTCTTATCTATGGTAATGCAAACTTTTCAGATGTATTGAATATGTCATAGTTTTTTTCTATTGTAGGCATCTCTAAAAAAGATATAGAAAACAAACAGAGCAAAGTCTGGTGTTGGAAAGGAGAGAGAAATAAAGCTTGTAAAGGAATGAAAATTAGAGCTTTCTGGAGATAAAAATTCTTAGAAGATACAAAAGCTAGTTACTGAATTAGATGAAGGTTCTTTTTCAGTTTTTCCCATTGTTCACCTCTTAGAAGACACATATTCACAGCAGAAAAGAAAGAAAGGGTTAAAAAGAAAATACCTCAGTGTAGTGAGACTGTAATTTCATGAGGGCATTACTGAAGACTCACTTTTTCCAGCATCACTCAGCATGGTATTATGCATGTGTGTAATGTAAAGGAAAGTGAATACGCATTCTTGGATGTGTGATAAAATCGCAATTCCAGAATATAATCAGAAGCTGATTCATTATCCTCTTGAGATTTCACAATCTTTCCATCAGGAATTAAAATTCAGAAGAGGGTAAATGTATCTAATCTTTTGAAAGTTAAAAATTAGAGGGTGGAGCCAAGATGGCCGAATAGGAACAGCTCCAGTCTACAGCTCCCAGCGTGAGTGATGCAGAAGACGGGTGATTTCTGCATTTCCAACTGAGGTACCAGGTTCATCTCACTGGGGAGTGCTGGACAGTGGGTGCAGCGCACCATGCATGAGCCAAAGCAGGGCAAGGCATCACCTCACCTGGGAAGCACTAGGGGTCAGGGAATTCCCTTTCCTAGTCAAAGAAAGGGGTGACAGATGGCACCTGGAAAATCAGGTCACTCCCACCCTAATACTGCGCTTTTCCAACAGGCTTATCAAATGGCACACCAGGAGATTATATCCAGCACCTGGCTTGGAGGGTCCTACACCCCCGGAGCCTCGCTGTTTGCTAGCACAGCAGTCTGAGATCAAACTGCAAGGTAACAGTGGGGCTGGGGGAGGGGGGCGCCCGCCATTGCTCGGGCTTGAGTAAGTAAACAAAGCAGCCAGGAAGTTCGAACTGGGTGGAGCCCACCACAGCTCAAGGAGGCCAGCCTGCCTCTGTAGGCTCCACCTCGGTGGGCAGGGCACAGACCAACAAAAGACAGCAATAACCTCTGCAGACTTAAATGTCCCTGTCTGACAGCTTTGAAGAGAGTAGTGGTTCTCCCAGCATGCAGCTTGAGATCTGAGAACGGGCAGACAACCCCCACCTAGTGGGTCCCTGAACCCCAATAGCCTAACTGGGAGGCACCCCCCAGTAGGCGCAGACTGACACCTCACATGGCCAGGTACCCCTCTGAGACAAAACCTCCAGAGGAACGATCAGGCAGCAGCATTTGCACTTCACCAATATCCACTGTTCTGCAGCCACCACTGCTGATACCCCCCAGGCAAATAGTGTCTGGAGGAGACCTCCAGTAAACTCCAACAGACCTGCAGCTGAGGGCCCTGACTGTTAGAAGGAAAACTAACAAACAGAAAGGACATCCACACCAAAACCCCATCTGTATGTCACCATCATCAAGGACCAAAGGTAGATAAAACCACAAAGATGGGGAAAAAAAGAGCAGAAAAACTGGAAACTCTAAAAATCAGAGTGCCTATCCTCCTCCAAAGGAATGCAACTCCTCACCAGCAATGGAACAAAGCTGGACGGAGAATGACTTTGAAGAGTTGAGAGAGGAAGACTTCAGAAGATCAAAGTACTCCGAGCTAAAGGAGGAAGTTCGAACCAATGGCAAAGAAGTTAAAAACTTTGAAAAAAAAAATTAGACGAATGGATAACTAGAATAACCAATGTGGAGAAGTCCTTAAAGGACCTGATGGAGCTGAAAACCATGGCACGAGAACTACACGACAAATGCATAAGCCTCAGTAACCGATGTGATCAACGGGAAGAAAGGGTATCAGCGATGGAAGATGAAATGAATGAAATGAAGCATGAAGAGAAGTTTAGAGAAAAAAGAATAAAAAGAAATGAACAAAGCCTCCAAGAAATATGGGACTATGTCAATAGAACAAATCTACGTCTATTTGGTTTACCTGAAAGTGACGGGGAGAATGGAACCAAGTTGGAAAACACTCTGCAGGATATTATCCAGGAGAACTTCCCCAATCTAGCAAGGCAGGCCAACATTCACATTCAGGAAATACAGAGAATGCCACAAAGATACTCCTCGAGAAGAGCAATTCCAAGACACATAATTGCCAGATTCACCAAAGTTGAAATGAAAGAAAAAATTTTAAAGGCAGCCAGAGAGAAAGGTCGGGTTACCCACAAAAGGAAGCCCATCAGACTAACTGCTGATCTCTCTGCAGAAACTCTATAAGCCAGAAGAGAGTAGGGGCCAATATTCAACATTCTTAAAGGAAAGAATTTTCAACCCAGAATTTCATATCCAGCCAAACTAACCTTCATAAGTGAGGGAGAAATAATATGCTCCACAGACAAGCAAATGCTGAGAGATTTTGTCACCACCAGGCCTGCCCTAAAAGATCTCCTGAAGGAAGCACTAAACATGGAAAGGAACAACTGGTACCAGCCACTGTAAAACCATGCCAAATTGTAAAGACCATCAAGGCTAGGAAGAAACTGCATAAACTAACGAGGAAAATAACCAGCTAACGTCATAATGACAGGATCAAATTCACACATAACAATACTAACCTTAAATGTAAATGGGTTAAATGCTCCAATTAAAAGGTGCAGACAGGCAAATTGGATAAAGAGTCAAGACCCATCAGTGTGCTGTATCCAGGAAACCCATCTCACGTGCAGAGACACACATAGGCTCAAAATAAAGGGATGGAGGAAGATCTACCAAGCAAATGGAAAACAAAAAAAGGCAGGGGTTGCAATCCTAGTCTCGGATAAAACAGACTTTAATCCAACAAAGATCAAAAGAGACAAAGAAGGCCATTACATAATGGTAAAGGGATCAATTCAACAAGAACTAACTATTCTAAATATATATGCACACAATACAGAAGCACCCAGATTCATAAAGCAAGTCCTTAGTGACCTACAAAGTGATTTAGACTTCCACACAATAATAATGGGAGACTTTAACACCCCACTGTCAACATTAGACAGATCAACGAGACAGAAAGTTAACAAGGATATACAGGAATTGAACTCAGCTCTGCCCTAAGCAGACCTAATAGACATCTACAGAACTCTGTACCCCAAATCAACAGAATATGTATTCTTTTCAGCACCACACCACACCTATTCCAAAATTGAGCACATAATTGGAAGTAAAGCACTCCTTAGCAAATGTAAAAGAACAGAAAGTATAACAAACTGTCTCTCGGAACACAGTGCAATCAAACTACAACTCAGGATTTAAAAACTCACTCAAGACCACTCAACTACATGGAAACTGAACAACCTGCTCCTGAATGACTACTGGGTACATAACGAAATGAAGGCAGAAATAAAGATTTTATTTGAAACCAACAAGAACAAAGACACAACATACCAGTATCTCTGGGACACATTCAAAGCAGTGTGTGGAGGGAAATTTATAGCACTAAATGCCCACAAGAGAAAGCATGAAAGAACTAAAATTGACATCCTAACATCACAATTAAAAGAACTAGAGAAGCAAGAACAAACACATTCAAAAGATAACAGAAGGCAAGAAGTAACTTAGATCAGAGCAGAACTGAAGGAAATAGAGACACAAAAAACCCTCAAAAAATCAATGAATCCAGGAGCTGGTTTTTTGAAAAGATCAACAAAATTGATAGACCACCAGCAAGACTAATAAAGAAGAAAAGAAAGAAGAATCAAATAGATGCAATAAAAATTGACAAAGGGGATATCACCACCGATCCCACAGAAATACACACTACCATCAGAGAATACTATAAACACCTCTACACAAATAAACTAGAAAATATAGAAGAAATGGATAAATTCCTCGACACGTATACTCTCCCAAGACTAAACCAGGAAGAAGCTGAATCTCTGAATAGACCAATAACAGGCTCTGAAATTGAGGCAATAATTAATAGCTTACCAACCAAAAAAAGTCCAGGACCAGATGGATTCACAGCCAAATTCTACCAGTGGCACAAGGAGGAGCTGGTACCATTCCTTCTGAAACTATTCCAATCAATAGAAAAAGAGGGAATCCTCCCTAACTCATTTTATGAGGCCAGTATCATCCTGATACCAAAGCCTGGCAGAGACAAAACAAAAAAAGAGAATTTTAGACCAATATCCTTGATGAACAGTGATGCAAAAATCCTCAATAAAATACTGGCAAACAGAATCCTACAACACATCAAAAAGCTTATCCACCATGATCAAGCGGGTTTCATCCCTGGGATGAAAGGCTGGTTCAACATATGAAAATCAGTAAACGTAATCCAGCATATAAACAGGACCAAAGACAAAAACCACATGATTATCTCAATAGACGCAGAAAAGTCCTTTGACAAAATTCAGCAAATCTTCATGCTAAAAACTGTCAATAAATTAGGGATTGATAGAACGTATCTCAAAATAATAAGAGCTATCTATGACAAACCCACAGCCAATATCATACTGAATGGCAAAAACTGGAAGCATTCCCTTTGAAAACTGGCACAAAACAGGGATGCCCTCTCTCACCACTCCTATTCAACATAGTGTTGGAAGTTCTGGCCAGGGCAATCAGGAAGGAAAAGGAAATAAAGGGCATTCAATTAGGAAAAGAGGCAGTCAAATTGTCCCTGTTTGCAGATGACATGATTGTGAATGTGGAAAACCCCATCATCTCAGCCCAAAATCTCGTTAAGCTGATAAACAACTTCAGCAAAGTCTCAGGATACAAAATCAATGTGCAAAAATCACAAGCATTCTTATACACCAATAACAGACAAACAGAGAGCCAAATCATGAGTGAACTCCCATTCACAATTGCTTCAAAGAGAATAAAATACCTAGGAATACCACTTACAAGGGATGTGAAGGACCTCTTCAAGGAGAACTGCAAATCACTGCTCAATGAAATAAAAAAGGATACAAACAAATGGAAGAACATTCCATGCTCATGGGTAGGAAGAATCAATATCTTGAAAATGGCCATACTGCCCAAGGTAATTTAAAGATTCAATGCCATCTCCATCAAACTACCAAAGACTTTCTTCACAGAATTGGAAAAAAACTACTTTAAAGTTCATATGGAACCAAAAAAGAGCCTGCATTGCCAAATCAATTCTAAGGCAAAAGAACAAAGCTGGAGGCATCATGCTACCTGACTTCAAACTATACTACAAGGCTACAGTAACCAAAACAGCATGGTACTAGTACCAAAACAGAGATATAGACCAATGGAACAGGACAGAGCCCTCAGAAATAATGCCACATATCTACAACTATCTGATCTTTGAAAAACCTGACAAAAACAAGAAATAGGGAAAGGATTCCCTATTTAATAAATGGTGCTGGGAAAACTGGCTAGCCATATGTAGAAAGCTGAAACTGGATCCCTTCCTTACACCTTATACAAAAATTAATTCAAGATGGATTAAAGACTTACATGTTAGACCTAAAACCATAAAAACCCTAGAAGAAAACCTAGGCAATACCATTCAGGACATAGGCATGGGCAGGGACTTCATGTCTAAAACACCAAAAGCAATGGCAACAAAAGACAAAATTGACAAATGGGATCTAATTAAACTAAGGAGCTTCTGCACAGCAAAAGAAACTATCATCAGAGTGAATAGACATCCTACAGAATGGGAGAAAAGTTTTGCAACCTACTCATCTGACAAATGGCTAATATCCAGAATCTACAATGAACTCAAACAAATTCACAAGAAGAAAACAAACAACCCCATCAAAATGTGGGCAAAGGAAATGAACAGACACTTCTCAAAAGAAGACATTTATGCAGCCAAAAGACACATGAAAAAAAGCTCATCATCACTGGCCATCAGAGAAATGCAAATCAAAACCACAATGAGATACCATCTCACACCAGTTAGAATGGCGATCATTAAAAAGTCAGGAAACAACAGGTGCTGGAGAAGATGTGGAGAAATAGGAACACTTTTATACTGTTGATGGGACTGTAAACTAGTTCAACCACTGTGGAAGTCAGTGTGGTGATTCCTCAGGGATCTAGAACTAGAAATACCATTTGACCCAGCCATCCCATTACTGGGTATATACCCAAAGGATTACAAATCATGCTGCTCAAAAGACACATACACACGTATGTTTATTGTGGCACTATTCACAATAGCAAAGACTTGGAACCAACCCAAATGTCCAACAATGATAGACTGGATTAAGAAAATGTGGCACATATACACCATGGAATACCATGCAGCCATAAAAAATGATGAGTTCATGTCCTTTGTAGGGACATGGATGAAGCTGGAAACCATCATTCTCAGCAAACTATTGCAAGGGAAAAAACCAAACACCACATGTTCTCACTCATAGGTGGGAATTGAACAATGAGGAAACATGGATACAGGAAGGGGAACATCACACACTGGGGACTGTTGTGGGGTGGGTGGAGGGGGTAGGGATAGCATTAGGAGATATACCTAATGTTAAATGAGGAGTTAATGGGTGCAGCACACCAACATGGCACATGTGTACATATGTAGCAAACCTACACTTTGTGCACATGTACCCTAAAACTTAAAGTATAATAAAAAAAAATTAACAGGAGCCTTTTATACAGATAAATTTGATTTGCATCATGATCAGCACTAAAGAGCATTACAGATTTAAACCATATTTACACAGTTAAAACAATGTAACCAAATATGCAATATATTATGTAACATTGTACAAGATGCTTTTCAAACGTGCAAACTGACCTTTAAAACAATTTTACATAAAATAATATTTTTAGGTAAGAGAAAAGACAGACATGGGGTTAGGGCAAAATATTTCTGTTCAAATTACAAAATCCTGAATGACAAATCACAGGATAGAAAAAAATTATATTGTACCTGGAATTTGAAGTCTTCAAATTTATTTATTTATATGTATCTATATGTATTAATGGAGACATATTAGTTTAGAACAGTTATATTTTGAAGATGTCATTCTTTAAAAAATTATTAATATCTACATGATTGCTGCAGATATTTTAATTTTAAACAAATATTTTTCACTAATGTGACCAGTATTTGTGTCCTATTTTATTAAACAGACATTTCAAGATTCTTTTAGAGTTAATTTTTAAAAATTAAGTATCATAAATATTTCTGAAGTACTACCTTAAAAAAAACCCTTTCCTGGCTTTTCATATAGTTAAACATTTTCATAATGACTAAAAAGTTAAAAATAAATTAACAACCATAATCAAATTAGAATTCTACTTTTTATATCAGATGAAATACTATATAAAATGTCCAGAATATCTAGTGTTAATGAGGCTGTGCAGCCTGGACATTTGATGTCTCATCTGTGGGAATGTGAACTAACCCAACCATTCTGAATAATTATTGGCTCTGTGTGTTAACAGTCTAGAGTCCTGAAACAAGGATCTTAATTCTAAAATAAAATCCTATTCTAAGAATATACCAATGGTTGATAATCAAGGAAGTTTCAAAGTTATACAGAAGAACCTTCATCCTAGCATTATATATGTAATCATCCATATAAACCAGATAGTGTTGAATGAAACTGCAGAAAAACAAAGAGACTACAGAATATGTTTCTCTTTGTGTACAACTGTAAATGTACACATCTATCCATGTAAAATTTTACATCTCAGGAGGATAGGTACCAACATGTTAACATGCTATATCTATAAGATAAGAAATTTTACTTCCCTACAATTTCATACACACACACACACACACACTCTCAAACACACATACACACACACCGAGGATATATACACACACAAATATATATATAAACATACATGTTTATATAGGTACACACACACATACATATACACAGATGGTCAACAACTGATAATGGTTCAATCTATGATTTTTTTTACTTTATGATGAAGCAAAAGTGATAGCTTTGAATAGAATATAACCATTCTGCTTTTCACTTTCAGTACAATATTCAACAAATTACATAAAATATCCAATACTTTATTATAAAGCAGGTTTTGTATTCAATGATTTTGCCCAATTGTCAGCTGATGTAAGTGTTCTGAGCACATTAAAGGTATGCCAGGCTAAGCTGTGATATTCAGTAAGTTAGGTATTAAATACATTTTTAACTTACTGTATTTTCAATTTATAATCAGCTTATCAAGACTTAACCCCATTGTACATTGAAAAGCATTTGTATTGCATTAAACATGTTATATAATATTTTTAATTGAAATTACTGGCAACTTTTGAAAAAATGTAATGAAATAATGTGCTTTGCTATTGGTTAAAATATTTTTGGGCAGGGTCAGTGGCTTACACCTGTAATCCCAGCACTTTGGTAGGCTGAGGTGGGCAGATCACTTGAGGTCAGGAGTTTGAGACCAGCCTGGCAAACAGTGTGAAACCCCATCTCTACTAAAAATACAAAAATTATCTGAGTGTGGTGGCATGTGCCTGTAATCCCAGCTACTAGGGAGGCTGAGGTGTGAGAATTGCTTGAACTAGGCAAGCAGAGGTTGCAGTGAGCCAAGATCATGCCATTGCACTCCAGCCTGGGCAACAGAGTAAGGTTCTGTCAAAAATAAAAAAGAAAGAAAGAAAAGAAAAAAAAAGTTTTTAGCTTCAAGTAACAGAATAGTCTACTAATTGAAGAAAAAAACAAGGAGCAACTTTGACCAAATCGCACAACAAATAGATGGTATCAATGCTTAGTTAATTCAACATGATCCACTTCTTTGTGATTCTCTTATCTTTCTACCTATGTTTTCAAGATGGCTATGGCATTCCCAGCCTTACAACTTCATGTGACAAAATCCAATGGCAGGAAATAATAAGTGACGGCATTTTGGAACTTTAAGGAAAAACTTTAAGGATTGGAAAACAGGGATGCCATATGTCCAGTAACATGGGATAGCCGCTCCTAATTAAGGATTGCTGTATGTCCTGAATGACTTTCTAATGTAATGAAGGTGAATAACCTGCTCTGTTTAATTATACAATCCCAAATGTAACTGCCTAAGTGTCAAGTACTTTTGCATGGTTTTAATATGCCATGAATTTTGCAAGAATGAAACTGCTATGTATATGAGAAAAGACGGTAGATTTTTTCATTTAGATACTCATTTCAGAGTCTCAATAGGAAAAATAGAACACACACAAACTAAGATAATTTAACATGGGTTTATTTCCAAAGAGACTACTTACGAAAATGTCAGGGGAGAAGGGTGAAGGAATCACAGAAATCACACCCCACAATAACTCTGGGTTAGTAGCAGCAGGCAAAGTTCTGGGGAGTAGACTGCCCTGATCACACAAGGAAACACTAATTTTCTTATGAAAAAATTGGTCAAGGAGACCTAGCAGAGAGGGAGTTAGGCAATAACCCCCAATCTCATTTCCTCCTTCCCTTTAATCTCATGAACATGCATAGAAGGCAATGAGCAAGGGAACCGATGGAGATATTCAATATGGACCATTCCACTTGGACAAAAGCCAGTAAATAGGGGAGTATAACAGGGGACAAGGGCCAAACAGAAAGTATCTATTACATTTACCAATGCAGATCAATCATGTCAACAATAGAAATGGCAGTTTTGGCATTTGGTTATTCAATGAAACTATATTTGTAGCTTTTTATTTACAATGTTTCAAGGTATGGGCGAAGATATGAAAATTTCATTATGTTCTATTGTATTTGATATGTAAATGTTCTGGCACAATTATATACATTTTGGATTATATATTGACAGTAAATTATTTCTCCTTTGTTAGCTTCAGAACAAAATTAATATTTTCAACAACTTCAATGCATACATTGTGTTCTCACTAATAGTTTAGAATAGTGAAGGGGTCTTTGAAGAATTTCTTATGAAGTAGAGGCATTGGGTCAGACAGAGCCGAAAACCATTGACTTAGATTAATCACTATTTATCCTAGGGCTGAAGAGGGCCAATTGAAGACACAAATGTCCAATCCCTCTATAACCTTGGAGATCTATGAACCAGAGAAATAGAGACTGGTTCTTAAGGAGGTAATAAGTGTGCCTTCTATGGTTTATAATAATATGCATTGTCTTAACAATCGAATACTTAAAAGTTAATGCCCTCATAATATGCAAAATTTTTAATAAGCACATTGGTCCCTGTGTTCAAGTAGTTGGTAATCAAATTAGTGAAGTATGGTAAGTCTTTTGAAGAGCATTAAACAGCAGAGAATGTAAGAAATTTTTCTCTATAATAGTGTGGGCCTTCTGTGTTTCCTAAGGGAACATTCATATGATCTAATAACTGAGCAGAGAGAAGCCTAAAGGATATTTAATGGTTTCATTTTTTTGTTTTTGCCAATTAACATACATTTCTAGATTAAAAGTCAACTATCTTTTCCTTGGGAGTCAACTATAGGAGAAGATAGTGAAGAGGCAAGGAAAATTACAGCAGCTCAACAACTTTACCCTGGAAATATCTGTATTGTGTACCGCTATAGCCTACCTTTATCAGTCAGATAACAATGTCAAAGAGGCAAGCTTGGCACCATTGCTCTTAGTGAATCTCTGCTGCCAGCCTTTTATCCTAAGTGCTCTCCAAAGACCCATTTAATGGACCTTTCTGAAATTGTGCTCAGGATCAATATGAGGCTCATTGATACAGCAGCTTTGGAACTCACCATTTGCTTATTTATTAAACCTGGGATATTTGCCCGACTTCTATCATCTGAAATCCTCTCCATGACTTTCAAAATTACCAACATTGGTTCCAACATCATTCCTAGAAAACATTTCAGTGGAGTATATTTATCTGACATTTGACTGTATTTATAGCAGTAAGAATATATGATGATTCCTCTTAAAATAATCCCACAATTACCCATTTTGGGTCACCTTTGAGGGTCTTATCCTTAATATCAGAGATCTGTTCTATACATTTGAGTCTTAGAAATAATTACTAGCTTCTCTCTGAATTTAACTGAAGTTCCTTACTTTTATTCAGCCTGTTACCCAAATTACATAATGTATTGAAAGCTAAAAACTGTCCAAATTTCTGATTACCTTTAGTTAAAAATGGGAATATGACTTTTTCTTTTTCTAACTTGGCAAAGATTATGTTTTTTTCATGAAGAAGTACTGACATATTTAAACACTCAGGATCTGAGAATTTGAAATACATGAAACTTAGCAAGTGGTCTTTAAGTAGTTTTCATTTCTAAATTATAGTACATAGCATTGAATGCTACAGAAGAAAAGACAATGAGGGATTACTCATAAACATTGCCTTTATGATATCCTTCCAAAGAAAACCAAGTGTCCCTGTGCTTGGACTCATAAAGCAGAAATGCTTACCTTGCTTTTATGTCACTAACAAACAATTTTGCCTAGTCATTGAATTCTAATGCATTTAAGCCATCTTGAGAGTAGAGCCCCTAGGGAAAACTACAAATGGAAAATTCATTGATTTTTGATTTTGCTTTCCTATGGATTAAATTTAACACTTTCTTGTAAATCTCTCCCTTTGCAGATCATATGTGATAAATAGTTATCCAACTTTCTAGATATCCACCCAGAGCTGCTTCCATATGAAGAGGTGGAAACGGATTCTGTGCATGATACTGGTTAGGATTGGGAACTGTTTTTTTTTAAAGGAGATTTTTAAAATTTGTTTTCCTTGTACACATAGCCATAATATTGTGTTGCTAACTGCCCTCTGGGAACAAAGTCATGTCAATCACAAATATATTGCCTAAAGTGGGAGGCTTATTACTCTGCTGTGAATTCCATCTCCTATTATGTTTTAAAGATGTTACAAACTTGAGACATTACTATGTAGATGACATTCCCAGCAAATCCCCAAACAACACTTAATGAGATTTCAAATACCAGGATCATGCAACAGTAAAAGATATAAGGAAATAAAGAAAAGCACAGTATATTTGTAGAAGGCATTAAAACACAAATTTTATAATTATGAATGCATATAATAAGGAACAAGTTTTATTCTAAATAGCAATTAAATGAGAACTATGATATAGGGAATAAAAGTGAATATTAAACCATTGTACCGACAATAACAGAGCCCTTTTTCTGCTGCGTGATGGAATTTAGTGTTTACTAAGGAAGAAAAAAATGCAAGATATCTTAAATTAGGTACTTTCCAACAAATTTAAGAAATGTGTACACACTTGAGGAGACTTAAGAAGTCTCTGACTAAAACACTAGAAAAGAAAAGCAGTGAAAAGCCAAATAACTATTACTCAACAATAACAACATTTGTTACTATTATATTAATATTAAACACACTATTAAGCAACAACATTTCAGTTACTCACTGAGCCCAAAGTCATTTTTCATGAACCCTTCACAACACTGATAACCTATTGAAAAATGATTGAAAACAAAAAAGCTTATTGCTTTCCAAGTCCTTTTAAAGCCTTCTCATGTGTCATTTCATATAATCCTTATAACGAATCTATGGAGTATATACTGACTTTATCTCTGTACAGAAAAGAAAACTGAGTCATATTCAGAATAAGTTGCAAAGTTTCCCAGATAATCAGTGTCATAGGTGAAATTTGATGTCACAGTGTAGTCAAGTGTAATTTAGGGAAGCAGTACAAATGACGGTTGAAAGCACAGGTTCTGGGGTAAATAGCCTGAAGTCAAAATCTAGTTCATAGCCTCAGTGGCTGTGTGATCTTGGGAAATTTCCCTTAACTCTCTGTGTCTTGGTTTTATAGTTTCATCCATTTTTGCCTCTCATATGAGCTGGTGAGCATTACACTAGTTTATGCTTCTAGGACACTGAAAACAGTACCTGGCTCTTGATAAATATTAACAATTTTGTTTCATTGTCTTCACCTTGAGTATTTCATGGCCAGATGGAAATCAATGTCAATATGAAAAAATGTTCATAATTCAGCAGGAAGAAATACAAAACCATATAAACAACTTTGTTTTACTGGCAAGTGTATTGGGAAGCTATGTTAAATTGAGAAGGGGAAGGGAAAGCCTCTAAGGGCATCGATTAATCAATGACCGAAAGCTGATGAGACTTGTCTGGAATTTTTTTTTGGAGACTCTGATACTTAAAATTTTGACAAAATAAGGAGATGAACTGAGTAGTGTGGAACAGACATTTTGTGAAGTCAGCAGAGAAAGGAGAGACAAATATGGTAAGGGGAAAATGGTATGAACTAATAATATCTATGAAGTGCTTTCTAAAGTATAACACATGTAAGTTGTGTTAAATGTAAACTATCATGATTATATCATTACTGTCTGACTGATACAACTATATCCACCTCAGTTAGCCACATAAGATCAATTTTCCTATACCTTAGAGAATACCAGTAACCTCCAGTTCAGAAACAGCATAAATATTTATCCACAGCTGAGCAGACACATACAGCTAGCTACCAGATGAAATGGGCTATATCTTCAAATACTATTGTTTTCTGTTTTTTAATTGTGGCAAAACACACTCAACAATTTGCATCTTAACCACTGTTAAGTATACAATTCGGTGTCATTAAATGTATTCACAATGTTGTGCAAGCATCACCACCACCCATCTCCATAATTCTTTTTGTCTTGTAAAATTGAAACCCTGTACCCATTAAAAGTGACTCCCCATTCCCCACCCCCCCAGGGCAACTACAGCTTTGCTTTCTGTCTTGATGAATCATACAATATCAAATGTAATTTTTAAGATATTTAAAATCTTTTGTCTGGAAGCAAAGTGGAAGTTAATATCAATGGCTATGCCTTCAGTGAGTTCTCAGACCACATTACAACGTAGTTAACTATTTATCTTTTATTACGTTCTAGACCTATTATTTCTTTCTGGCACAAAAATATCTTCTTTGTAGATTATGGCATTTACCTCTATCTCCACACCATTTTGGTCTCTCATCCACAGATCATCAGCCTCTTGCTTAGTCTTCCATTTAATGACAATTTCTATTTAGTATACAACAGTCCTTCCCCCTGCAATGCAATTTCTTCACTCTTTAAAGCTCTGAGTCTGGCTACTGGTCTCTGTTATGTACTCATCCCTAGAGCCAAGTCTTCAAATATTTCTCAGAACTTCTTCACATCTAAAAATCTAGGATTAATGTATTGCTCTCTGATTATATTCTTCTGGTATTTCAAGTATCCTGTATAACTTCTTCATCTGCCCTTGCTTTTCTTCTACATCAAGATGTCAAGTTCATGGACTTCCCAATTAATCATTTTAAAAATGTATTTCAAGCCTTTATGAGTCACTAAAATATACATATGTTCTCAGGAATTATGGCCCTACAATTTGTATGTGAGAATAGTTCCTGTGTCAGGCATTATGGACATAAGAGGAAATAAATTCTAGCCCCTGCCTACAAGGAGCTAATTCCCAGCCTAAGACAGATTGCAAGCCAATAATATGCAGACTTGTAAGTCTAAGGAAACTGATTGGGATGTACCTAATTCGAGCTGGGAATATCGAAGAAAAACTTTTTGAAAGTCATGAGACATGAGCTGTGCCTAAAAGAGTAAAAAATAGAGAGAGAAATAAGAAGAAATAAATTAAGGAATGAGATGGGTAAAATAGTAGAAAAAGGAAATCTCTTTAGATAAAACAGGGTATGAGAGTATATAGGAGGCTTATTAACTCAGTGTGGTTGGAGAAAACAGGTTGAAAGGAGAAATAGGGGAGAAAGTTACAAAGGGAATCAAACGTGTTAGTAGTTGAGGGAAAAGCAAATATTGAATACGACCCATAGATCTTGGATAACCCAGTGTTTGGTAGTAGCTTACATAAAAGGTTGTGACAAAATAACCAGAGATATGTGGAGAAAATAATAACTGAGTGTTATATTTCCTCTGAGTAGAAACCTAAAAAAAAACTGTAATCACACACTGATCTTTTAACTGACCTCCACTTATCTTGCTGCCTGGATTGGCATACATATTCCTCTGCCTGAAAAATTGCTCAATACTTTTGAAAGGTTGTTTCTCACTGTTACACCCAGGCATTTCTGCTAACAACAGCTGAGTTGTAAGGGGCCCTCCAGGAGACCTAGGTTGTTCTCCTTATCACATACATTATTTTCATTTATCAATTTACCTAGAACATCTAATGAAATATTATGGACACCAATAACATGAATACAAATATAGCTATAGACCCTAAAAAGTAAATTGATGTCTCTTCAAAGGCTGTCATGTCTTAGATGCTAAATTTGGAGTATGTATTTCTAATAAATAAATAGCTTGCTTTAATAATTCTGATTTATGAATGTAACATAGGGGAGCAGCTTTTATTTCACCCTTAATCTTAAAAAACAATTAGCTGGGTGTGGTGGTGGGCACCTGTAGTCCCAGCTACTCAGGAGGCTGAAGCAGGAGGATGGTGTGCACCTGGGAGGCGGAGCTTGCCATAAGCCGAAATTGTGCCACTGCACTCCAGCCTGAGTGACAGTGTGAGACTCTGTCTCAAAAAAAAAAAAAAAAGATCATACACGGAGTAAATGATGATTTAGCATAAAACACAACTTTAGCCTAAAACACAGATCATAGGGCTCAAACTTTGTTATTTTATGGGATTATACTAATCAGTTAATAATCAAAATTTACCATTTCAAAAGAAGAAATATTGGTCTGGGAAAATTGCCATTGCTTATACAGAAGAATGGAGGAATCTTTTTGAGAACAACAATTCTAGTGATCTTCCTCATCACTGGTTCCAAAACCAAGCCCATGAAAGGCCTGCATAGGGATAATGTGGAGAACATGCCAGAGAAATACACATCACCAGCTCCTCAACTCAGAGCTCCAAGGGAATGGCCAAGGAAGCTGTATTGTCCTAAGAAATTTGAGACTGTTTTGACTTACAATAAATCCTGCTCAATCATATGTATGTATACACACACACACACCCACACACACAGACGGTGTTGTCAGTGAAGCCTCTAACAATGCATCTTGACTGGACAGATTTGACAATTAAAATGGCTGGAAGAAAATAGGCTTCATAAGTGTCACTTACTATTCACATTACACATTAAAAGGACATCTCCTAAATTAAATCTTGTCTTTGATAAAAAGGCAGAAAATCATGACCCAAGGCTCATTTATAACTGCAGAAATGTTCAAGATAGACCAAGGCTTGCTATGTTTAGGAACTGACAAGTACAGGTCTTTATAATCTACCATTTTGCCTCATTTGATACCAGGTGACCTTCATAATGCAGGCAATAGAGAATTGCAAGATTTGTCAGAGATTTCAGGTCTTTGGAAAGCTATGCTCTTTCACAAGAACAGCCATGGAAACAGGAATAAAGTCAATTCCCACTTAAGGTAATCAGAATTTACAAATATTCCTTTTTTCATTGAAATCTCAATAGGCACTTCAATATTATATTTAATTAATTCTTTTGTTACAATCATGCATCACATAACAACATTTTGGTCAAGGATAGTGCACATGTATTTCAGTGGTGCAATAAAATCATAACACTGTACTTTTACTGTACCTCTTGTATGTTTAGACATGTATAGATACACTTACTGTATAGATATAAGTAAGTATAGATATACTTAACTGTTGTGTTACAATTGCCTACAGTATTCAGTACAGTAACATGCTGCACAGGTTTGTAGCCTAGGAGGAATAGGCTATACCACCTAACCTAGATATGTAATCAGCTATAGCATCTAGGTTTGTGTAAGTAAACTCTGTGATGTTCATACAATAATAAAATTGTCCAGCAATGCATTTCTCAGACACACCCCTGTCATTAAGTGACACATGACTGTATTAGTTAACACCATGGGAACTTCATGGGAAATGGACACTCTAGCTCCACCATAAATAGAAACTGTTTATGTCAAAAAACACATAAAAGCATAGTTGCAAGATTACATTTCCTTCCAGATATTTCATTTAGTATCTCCACAGATCACTAACTTCCTGAATAGCATTCTTGTGTCTCCACTGCCTCACATTTGATTTCAGGTCATTCCATCAATTGTCAAAGACGCATCCAACATTAACTTTCCAACTACTGGTTTGGATTGTGTCAACATTGTCATTCTGGGCCACAACAACACAAAAGGCTAACTCAGTGAGGTAACATAGACACTGATCAGTGAGATTTTGCTGATGGATGGTACCATTTTTTACCAAGATCAAGGGTATTCATACCTTCAGGCATCTAGATAACATTGAAAAGGGCAGGTTCATAGATAAAAAGGGAAAGAGGAAGGGTTTTTGCACTATACATGAGCTACCGTGTCTCCTGTTTAACCTGAGTCTGAAGAGATTCAAAGTGCAGGTGCCATGAATGCCTCTTTAATAGCTCCATGTCGATTGATTTTCTGGGCTACACTTCCCAGCATTCAAATTGCTAAATGCATATAAACTACTAGTGAATATTTATTACCTGGATTTGTGCTTTTGAGTGATCTTATCTATAGTTATGTGCTTCAGTGATCCAACTTGGGGTGCACTCCAAACTTTGATAAATTAAAGACCCTGCTTATTCCTTGAGTAATGCTACACTGACAACTGATTTAGTGAATGCCACTGTGAAAATAATAAACCTCTTGGTGAATATATTTAGACATGTCTTGTAACCTGTACACATCTTAAACAGGGATGTTACTTGGTCTTTCTATGTTCAGGAGTGTGTGGAGATAGAAAAACATACAGGATTGTAATTGTTGCCTGTGAGACTAACAGAAAATTCAAGCTAGTGAAGTATGCTTATACATGGCACACTTCTCAACAGCAATTTTAGGAAGTTCTACCCACAACCCATATGTCTTTTGATATGTGGGTTACCTTGGAGAGAGAAAAAGAAACTCTGAACACAAGCATGAAATACTTTCGAATTTTATCTAGAGTTGGACTTATCCGAAAGCTTTTGTATAAACTTGCTTGATGAGCAACTGTTGTCCACTGGTACCTTCACTGTACAATCCACACACAACAAAACTTCACAACTGGACACCTAAATTTGCACTTTGTTTGGTAAAGTTGAATGAAAAATGTTGTCTTTTAAGCTTATGCTCTCTTATGAAAGCTGTTATTAGATTAATTTTACTCCAGGATATGCCAGTTAGGAAATAACTTCCAATTTAATTTCACCAGCTCCCTGTGGGTAGACTAATTACTCACACATCACACTTACTCTGGTGGTGAAATGCCTCAAAAGAAGGTCTCCAGAGTGTTGCTCTACCTAGAAGGACAAGAATGAAGAGACATAAAAATCATTCATTAAGAAGGAAGAAGATTTTCCTTGCCTAGATTTTCACTTGTAGGATCCAATTAATTTTATCACTTAATATTTTGTCCTGGTGGGCATTCACTTTACAAATTTGTAAGGTCAGTAGAAATGGAAACTTTTGGAAATCAAACTGTAAATGTTCTGTAGACGTTGACAGAAATAGCTATTTGGAGCTGTGCTTTTGCCAACTAGACACTCTGAGAAAATCTGTGAGAGGATATTTTCAGGAAGTCATTGAACCCCCTAAAAATCAAGTTTATTGCTTTTACCATAAATATAAATAATTTATTTATTATCAACCACTTTCAATATTCCAATAAGTAACTTTATTGTTTATTTCATTGACATGATCTACATAGACATGCAATTTATCTTCTTTTGCGATACATTCAGAAAATGTGCTGCCTGGAAAAGCCATGTTTTGAAATTACCACCTGTTTGATGATTTTTTTTTTTATATACTTTAAGTTTTAGGGCACATGTGCACAACGTGCAGTTTAGTTACATATGTATACATGTGCCATGTTGGTGTGCTGCACCCATTAACTCGTCATTTAGCATTAGGTATATCTCCTAATGCTATCCCTACCCCCTCTCCCCACCCCACAACAGGCCCTGGTGTGTGATGTTCCCCTTCCTGTGTGCATGTGTTCTCATTGTTCAATTCCCACCTATGAGTGAGAACATGCAGTGTTTCATTTCCACTTAAGTATCTATCTCTATTTGTCCTTTATTTTCACTTCCATCCTAGCTCTATCCCTTGTCTCCTTCGTGTGTCTCAGGATAAGTGCCCTATAACATTTTATATTTCTGGAAACCCTTCAATATAAAGTTATTACATGTAAAAATAAAAAGTCTGTTTTAGCAAACTTTTTCTTCACAAATTATCTTTTCCTAGTTCCCTATTAGACAATTTTTGTAGGCCCCATATGCTATTAATTTATATTCACCTTTAGAAGAATTTTCATCAAAAGCACAAGTCTTATGTAAATTGTTTATATGCTATTTGTACTTCTATGTATATATACACACATAGCCACATACATATATGTAACTCCGGAGGCCTGCCTGGACTGTTAAATAACTGTATTGAACAAGAGCAAGAAAAAGCTGTTCAAATTTCAAACAACAAGTTGAACTGAAGAGCTCATATCTTTGAATGAAATAGACACTAGTAGCCTTTAAAAATTAAACATTTCTACTGTTTTAAAAAATTATAGCCATCATAGTATGAGGAAAAATGTAATAATCCTTTTTAATTCTTGCCATTTTATTAACCACAAAGTCCTTATGCCCTGACTTCATTGGTACCCCTTTGAGATTAAACAGAACACTTAATTTAAAATTCTGATAAATAAATTAATTACACCATTTACTTGAGGTACTCTTTCACCTTTCAAGAAATATTTTGAGAATTCATTAGCTAAATATTGCTATAATGCAGGCTAGTAATAAATGGAAATAATGATTTCATTGTAAAGTTTAAACTAATGATGGTTTGATCTGGAATTTTTGTTAACCTAGAAGACATAATTAGCTCTAGAGGTGAAATGAAAGACATAATCACTTCACATATTAGTAAAAAACAAATAATATAACTTTATAAGCTACTGCTGTTCTTTTGCTATTAAGAACCAATGACATCTGTAATTACGGAAGATTATGGAAAGGTTAAAGGTGAGAATACATGCAGTCTGTCGACAGGAAACCTAAACAGTTTAGGTTAAGGAAATGTCTGAGAAAGTCATATTAATTAGCAGGTTCACAGGAAACTGACATTTATTGTATAAATTCCATGGTCAAATGTATTAGGGCTCCATGCACACAACTGTGCGCCATCTATGTTACCACACAGTGCTTACTTCTTTCAGTCTTTATTCATTTCTCTCCTAATGGTCTGTATGGTATTATTACATAGTTCTAAAAACCTTCCATGAGGCAGAAATTTCATTTAATGATATAGCTTTGAAAATAATGAAAAACAGTAGAAACTTTCTATTTTTTATGAAGCAGAATTGTTGAATTTTCAGTTTCATTTATTTAATGTTACAAGATGACAAACATATTTCTTTAATTCCTTCTTGTTATTTTTGTCTAACATCAACCAAAGCCATTTCTTTCATTTGAAGGTGAAAACTGCTCATCAAAATCCAGTTTAAGCTGAGAAACAAAGAACTAAATTTTGCATGAGAGATTATACACTGCATAAGTATAAAACAGGACCAGAAACAATGGTGGATTCACAATTTTTAAAAAGACAAAAGCAGGTTATCATCAAATCAATTGTTACCAACACACCAATTCCACCTCTAGGCCAGAAAATTAGCCACTTACCCACAGGAAAACAATGATTGAAGACAAAGTTCACCAGTGAAAGTTGGTTATTTTTTTTTCCATCCTTGCGTCAACTAAAATGATATCTACAGTTCCTCTTAACACTTTTCTTACTTTCAAATATGTGGGTATGCTTCATTAGCTGAGGCCATGTTCCATATGCACATCTGGCTACAAGGGAAACTGTGAATGTGAGCCCTGATCCTAATGTTTGTAGAGTATTTAGAAATTTGAGAATTCCCTCCAAATAAAGAGTTTTTTAAAACATTGTTAGACAAAAAGTTTGAATTACAAAATGTGGTAGTAGCTCAGGTCTAACTCAAATGCAGGGAAAAAAAACTATTAACTCTAAAAAAAATTAAATACACATTTGATGGTAATGAGAAACAGAAAACAGGCAGAAATAGTAGAATATTCAACCACTGATGAAGTATTTGACCACTGAATAAAGAAAATTGCAATGATTTAAATTTGCATCAATGTAACTTCACACCTGATGACACTTCCCAGTCTGTGCAAAATTAGATGTCTAAGAGTAAAGCCGTGAGTTTTACTAGCCTGAGGAATAAGAGTACAGAGTTCCAGGCTGACAGAAAAGAAGAACTGGGAAATTTGAATGACATGGGAGAAATCTCACACAACTGAAAGTCACAGAGGAGAATGTCACAGAGTAAAAATCTAAAATCAGCACTTAAACTTCATTCAGATATATGATGGCTGCTACATTTCACATTCATAAAAGAGACTCCATAGAATCCAGCAGAAAACAACAGCTAAATTGCTAGTACAGAGCAGAGATTTCAACCATTGCATATAGCTCAGGAGTGAAAGTTTGGTGTTTGACTACAGAAAGAAGACTAATGTTAGAAAAGAGTCACTCTTCAAAGGAAAATAAAAGAGCCTATCTCTACAAAATATCATACACATAATCTAAGATATAATTTAACCTGCCTAGACATAGAACCAGGAAAATATGACACATAATAAAAAAAGTAAACAATGGATTAAGACATTGAAATGGCCCACATGCTGGAATTAGAAGATAAGAAATTTGAAATAAGCTATTATAAGCATATTCAAGGATTTAAGGAATAGATGGTAGTAAGAGGGAATATATGGAGAATCTCAACAGAGAAGTAAAAATGATAAAGGGATAATAGGACAAATTTTAGAACTGAGAGAGAGAATATCTTATATAAAATAGTCATTTTATGCACATACCAGTAAATGAAAGATGGCAGAAAAAACTATCAGTGCACTTAAAAACAGATCAAGAACAATTTCTCAATACAGTTAATACAAAGGAGAAAAATAATAAAAATATGACCAGTCTAGCACTAATATAATTGGACTCCTAGAAAGAGTAGAGAAGAAAATAAGACAAAAAAAGGTATTTGAAAAAGTAAAGACCAAAACTTTTCCTAATTGTCAGCATATATCAACTTACAGGTTTAAGAAACTCTAAGAACAGAATAAAAATATAGAGAACCAAATGTAGACATACCATAGTCAAACCACTGGGCAAAAAAAGAGTAAATCTTGAAAGTAGCTAAAGGGAGGGAGAAAATAATTTACATACTTGGAAACAAATAGACAGATGACCTGTCATCAGAAGTGACACTTTAAAAAGCAATGAAACTACATCTTCAAAATAAAAAAAACTGTCAACTCCAAATTCTATAACTAGAAAAAGTAATTCTTGAGAAAATAAAGATTTATTCAGATAAAAGAAAGCTTTGAACAATTGTCATTAGCAGACCTAGATACAAGAAATGCAAACGGAAATTTTTTAGACTAAAGAAAGATAACAACAGATGGAAATTCTGACCTACAGGAAGCAAGGAGAAGCTCTAGGAATGGCATGTGCATAAACAGGAAAAACTAAGGCTTTTTTCTTTTAGTTTTATAACAAACAACTGATGGTTTAAATAAAAAATTAAGAGTACTATTGATAATGTATGTAGAGTAAAATATTCTAAATTAATAGCTCTGACAGGAGACTAAAAGCAACAAGTTTGCCAAAACTTTTCTTTATGTTACATGAAAACGTTGACTATTAACAGTAAGCGGACTGCGATAAGCCCAGGATGTTTATTACAATCCCTAGAGAACCACCACATTATATGAAGATATTCTTCTAAAATGCCAATAAAGGAATTAAAATGGAACGCTGAATATTGTTCAGTTAATATAAAAAGGCATGAAAGAAAGAACAGAGGAGCAAAAAATGATGGAACAAATAGAAGATAAGAGCAAAATAGGCTGGGCGCGGTGGCTCAGCCTGTAATCCCAGCACTTTGGGAGGCCGAGGCGAGTGGATCACGAGGTCAGGAGATCGAGACCATCCTGGCTAACACGGTGAAACCCCATCTCTACTAAAAATGCAAAAATTAGCCGGGCATGGTGGTGGGCACTTGTAGTCCCAGCTACTCCGGATGCTGAGGCAGGAAAATGGCATGAATCCGGGAGGCAGAGCTTGCAGTGAGGCGAGATCCCGCCACTGCACTCCAGCCTGGGCGACAGGGCCAGACTCCGTCTCAAAAAAAAAAAAAAAAAAAAAGCAAAAATAGTAGGCTTAACTCCAACCTTATCAATAATTATTTCAAACGTAATTTAAATACTCCAAATAAAACACAGATTGTCCAACTATATAATAAAAGTACCTATAAGAGATGCATGCCAAATATTATGGTATAGATATGTTGAGAGTTAAATAATTTCCAAGTATACCAAGAAAACAACAAGCACAAGAAATCTTATGTGGCTATATTAATATAAGAAAAAGTAGACCTCCAAACAAGCAATATTACAACAGAAAGCTATTTCATAATGATAAAATGTCAAGTAATTATGAAGACATAATGCCGTGTTGCTGATAGAATAACTAAAGAAAGTTAAGGTAAAATAATTTTGACAACACCCTGACCTAACCGATATTGACCAAGAAAATAGAATATATGTTCTATTATGCTACACATGAAACATTTATCAATAGGCTATAGACCACAAAATATCTCTCAAGAAGTTTCAAAACACTGTAATCATAGAAAGTATGCTTTCTGACCATAATGAAAATGAGTTGAAATGGGTTAAAACAAGCTACCCAGGAAAGTCTACACTATTGGAAGATTTAAATACACCTTAAAATGCCCTTTAGCTCAAGGAAGAAATCATAAGAAACACCTTAAAATACATTGAACTGAATACAAATAAAAATATGCTCTATCAAAATATGTGGGATAAAGTTAAGCAGACCCACAGTAAATTTTTTGTATAAATGCTTATTCTAAAAAAGAGAAGTTCAAAACAAGTGAACTAATTTTCTACCTTAAAAAGAAAATCTAAAGCAAGAGAGCAAATTAAGTCCAAAACAAGTAGAAGAAAGAAAATAAAACAGAAATTAGAAATCAATGAGACAGAAAACAGACACAGGAGAAAATTAACATGGCCAAAAGTTAGTTCTGTGACAAAGAAAGAAAACGCAAATTATAAATATCAGGGATTAATGAGATTGTACAGTTGTAGACACAAGAGACATTAACAAGATAATGGAATATTGTGAAACATTTTATACTAATTTTCATTACTTGGATGAAAGGGTGAATTCCTTGAAAAAAACTTATAAAAATTCACAAGATTAAATGGAATATATGAAGTAATTGACATTTATTAAAGTAATTAAATTGTCAAATACCTGCACATAAAGACATAAAACTAAAGTAATAAAAAAATAAGCAAACTCCACATCCAAAGAGTTTTGCTGGTGAATTCTTTCAAACGTTTTAAAAAAATAAAATTTTTAAATTATTTCAGAAGAAGGGGGAAATTCCAAACTTGTTTTATGAGTCAGAATCCTGATAGCAAAACTACAAAACCCAGGAATGCAAAATTGATTTCAACTTAAGGGGCTATCACCATTCTAATCTGTGATTCTAATGAATTTGGCTATCTTAGATACTTTATACAAGTGGAATCATACAGTTTGTCCTTCTGTGACTGATTTACTTTACTTAGCATTAATGTTCTCTAGGTTCATCCATGTTGCATATTGCCAGATTTTCTTGTTTTAAAGCTGAGTAATATTCCGTTGTATGAATATACCACATTTTCTTTATCTATTCATCTGCCAATAGACATTAACCTTATTTCCACATTTTGATTAGTGTAAATAATGCTGCAATGAGCCTGAGAATCATCCCAATCTCAATTCTTTCAGATAAATAACCTGAAGTGAGATTGCTAGATCATATGGTAGTTCTACTTTCTTAATTTTTTTTGAGGAACCACTGTACTGTTTTCCATAGAGGCTGCACAGTTTTACTTTCCCAGAAACACTGTACAAGTGTTCCAATTTCTCCCCATTGTTAACACTCGTTATCTTTTTCTTTTAATAAGACCATTCTAACAGGCTTGAGGCAATATCTCTTTGTGGTTTTGATTTGCATTTCCCTGATGATTAGTGATGCTGAGCATTTTTTTCATGTACCTGTTGGTAATTTGTATATTTTCTTTGGAGAAATATCTATTGCTGATTAAAAAAAAAAAAAAAACTCTCAGCAAGCTAGAAAAAGAAATTTTCTCGAAGTGGTGGAAAGCAACCACAACAAAACATATAAACAATATTATATTTAATTGTGAAAGCGTAAATGTTTAAACCACATAGATTAGGACAAGAAAAGGATGTGTGTGTTCATCATCTCTATTCAACATTTTACTGGTGATCCTAGATTGAGTATAAATATTTAGGGGATAACTATTGTCACTGAAGCCCAAATCTTGGTCATCCTCAGGAAAAAAAAAAAAGTTGATTAGGTTGTATATAATCTAAATCTACTTGCTAATTTAATTTCTCTAAAATTACAGCTTGTATCAACTCTAGAATTTATTGGGCACCTCCTAGGACATAAACACTGGAATTTGGTGAGAGACATCAAATAGGAAAGAACCTGGCTCTGACATAAATTCAACACACGGAGGGGGACACACGTTATGAGACTGACCTGGCCTCTTCATCTCATAAAAGGGGTTCTTGTTGCTGGTAACACAGATTAAAACTATTTCAATTACATTCAAGGTAAAAAGATTAGCAATGATAGGTAAGATAAAAAAATCACCCCGCAGGAAGACAAAAGTCTCACAAAAGGATATTTAAACTAGCCAACACTTTGAAATTCAGGCAGAGATCGTGCTTTCTGGGTGAACTAAAGTAGCAAGAACAAAGTACAGGCTCCAATTCTAGGAAAAATGGACCCTAATAAGGTTTACAATCCAGAAACTCAAGATATCCAGACAGAAGGATGCAGTCTCCGCTTTCAAGGCAGTAGCAGTACCTGGATTACTATGCCAATCCCCAACACAATCATAAACACAAATTTGATTGAGGAAGAAGCTTGCCCACCAGAAGATTTAGGTTATTACAAGGTAGAATGTGATAGAGAAAACGAGCATGGGACTGGAAACAAGAGGAGGTAGCCCCATGATTACAACTGGAATATATCTTTCAGAGATTGTGCGGAAATAAGACTGAAGAGAGAGTTCCTTAAACCCCACGTGCCTTACATCAGGACTAATCCTGGACACAGGCTGGAAAGCATAGCCTACAGGTGGTGAGGGAGGAGGAGTGGACTCAGCTGTGAGAAGGAGAAGGAAATATGGCTGAAAACCAGATACTGGTCTTTAAATCACACAGGATTTGGGCCTTTGCTGCTCTCTGCCAGCAGCTGCCAGTAGTTCTCACACTTTGGCTGGCATCAAAATCACCTGGGGCAGTGGTGGGGAAGTGGGGGGAGTGTTGTAAAACCACAAGTGACCAGGCAAAAAACACCTGTATGTTTTCCAATTCAGTAAGTACAGAAATATTAATTGGAAAAAGGTGGACGTCAGACATTGATAGTGCTGTGGACTGCTCCAGGGACGTAAGCATGATCTTTAGAGAGGTGACTCTCATCAGTTGAGGGCAACCACTGGACAGCAAGAGGTCCAGACCAACCGTAAACAGAGACATCATTCAAATACACTTTAGCAACCTCTCCAAACAACATGTCTCTTAGTGAAACTTAGGAGGTTGAAAGTTAAAAACATAAAATCCCGTGGCATTTATGTATCCTAGGCACTTACATTTGTCTGAATCTTCCAAGTTGCCTTTGCTTGGTTAGAGTTTTGGGTAGACAAGAGGTGGATTTCCATGTGCCATAGTGAGAACTTTGATACACTCATTTAGACATTGACCTACTATCTTGATGTTTGAAAGCTAAAACCCAAAGAAATTTGTCTTTTTACATAAAACAAATTCAGCCCTTACCTTCCTTGTCGATTACATCTTCCACTAGCAGTAATAAAAAAGTAACAATATGCATAAGTCAAAGTATCTTCTTAGATCTTCTGTAGTGTTTTATTATTTTGTTGTGTTAAGTAACTGTCTCAAAATTTCAAGGAATGTCTGAGAAGCAATTCGTGTTCAAAGGCTGCCCTCTTGTGACAATATGTTGTATGTTTTACTGTAAAAGTAATCTTATTTTACCTTATAACCTCTACAATCCAATTCATAACAACATAAAAAGGAAATAAAACCTTACATAATTTTGAATTTTAAAAAGTACCTTGTTTATATGGCTCTTTTAGCTAATGAATAGTCAATTTGGTAAATATTCCAGTGAGTTGAAGGCTTGAATCCATCTCACTTAACTAGCTTGATGGATGTATTTCTATACCTATACAACCCACTCCTCTGCTTTTAAAAAATTAAAGTTAGCTGTAGATTGAGATGTCAGTGACACAGTTTATAGAACATAACTTAGATTGTCATCTACATTACTGTAACTACAAATACCACCCTCAGATGGAAGAATCAGTTTTATCAGTGAACATCTCTAATTGAACTATAAATGGTGTATGTCTTCTGGCTTTTACAAGCTCTTGGTCTAACACAGGGGATATATGATGTAAAACTTACAAAGCAGGGTCACTCACGGTGGCTCATGCCTGTAATCCCAGCACTTTGGGAGGCCAAGGCGGGCGGATCACAGATTCAGGAGATCGAGATCATCCTGGCTAACACGGTGAAACCCCATCTCTACTAAAAATACAAAAATTAGCTGGGTGTGGTGGCACAAGCCTGTAGTCCCAGCTACTCAGTAGGCTGAGGCAAGAGAATCACTTGAACCCAGGACACAGAGGTTGCAGTGAGCAGAGATCGCACCACTGCACTCCAGCCTGGTGACAGAACAAGACTCCATCTCAAAAGTAAATAAATAAATAAATAAATAAATAATAAAATAGCAGTGACTATAATGTTTTGTGATGTTAAACTTTGAGAGCTTTTTTTTCCTTTCTTTTCCCAAGTCCCTTTCCCAGTTCCAGGAGCAGAGTTATTCTAAGCTCACTGATGTAAAGGAATAGAAAGAAAAGGTTTGGTGGAAAACCTAATAACCTGCTATCTTTCTGTCTTTTGTTTTTTAAAAGCTTGAGCATTTGGGAGAATTTGGAAAGATTGTGGAGTAAGTGCAAAGAAGGAATTTGCTAACAAAAATTATATAGGGTAAAATGAGTTTTTTCCAGGTTAGAAAATATCCACTCCCTACCCTCCTACATTCCTTTCCCATGGTTAAGAAGAGGAAAAAACAAAGGCCTCTTGGTGAGCAGTGGTGACTTAGGCAATTTCTTAGAAATATTCTAGAAGGCATAGTCATCTTTAAAAAAAAATAGCTACAAGGATATGTCTAAGCAGAAGGGACCATGGGCCAAATTACGTGTAGATTTTTGCATTCCAAATATGGTAAAGAAGAAGCAGGAAGCTGGGGGGCCTAAACAAGCCACACAGAAATGGACAAGGAAGAGGCCAGCAGCAGCTTGTGGGGGCAAGACGTCAAGCCCCAAATGTTAAACCCACCATCCATCCTCCAAAATCTGGCTCTGTTTAACAAGGCTGCGGTCTGACACTAGATGCCGCCTCAGTGACTAAAGCATAATTTCCCGTCTCCTGGGAGTGTTGACAGATGACTCCTGGCAACAACACTCACAGCACAGTAAAGTTCCTTCATCCAAGTTCATGTCCCTTCTCAAGGCATCCCACATCCGAGAACTGCTTGGTACAGAAATATAATGGCCTGGTTTTCTTGCTCCAATTCGAGGTCATTAGGTAAACTCACCAAGATCCCTGTAGAGTGGACTGCGGCCATGATAGTGATTGCATTCCAGCCGACTTCCTGCTCCGCCCAATCCTATTGCTTTCACTCTTCCACAGGTGTTGGGAATATCATTTCAACCTCCTTGCATGCAAATCTCCAACTCGGAATCGGCTTCCTAGGACACCTGACTGGTGATATCTCTATCACTATCATGGTACTTAGAGGGGAGCATCTTAAAATGATTGAAGGCTAACTGCCCTAACAGCACAGGCAGATGGTGGCTTAAAATAGAATTTAAGTGGACTTAAAAAAACATGAAAAAAGTTGACATTGCATGCTCATATGAGCTTATGGATCAAACCATGTGTATGATTTCTAAGATCCCTCGTGCAGTATATATTTGCACTGTTTATAAATGACATCCCCTTGAATTGAATTCAGTGCAATTCAAAACAGTAATTTGTGGGAAAAATTAGATATGCAGATAGCCTGGACTCTAGAGAGGCACACATCATTTGGAGAATAATAGTGAACCGGCTGGTCTATGAGGGAAGAAAACAGAGTGAATATAGACTATTAGTGAACAAGGATATTTTCCCATGTATATTCAAGTTAAGGTGAACTTCTTTAGAGAATTGTGCCTTAGAAAGAAAAAGTATTTCCCTATATTTGAGTCCTCCAAGTTTTCCTACGATGAGTGCTTTGTGATTATTTTGAATAACAAAGTAATATTTAAAGAAACTCTATTGCCCTGAATGTACTTTACATCAATTGATGTTGCATATAGAGAGCATCAGAGTCAAGCCACAAGAAAAGAAGGAACATAACTTAGCAAAGACTTAGAGGATTAGTCCTAATAGTGTGAAATCAAAAGTTCAAGTGAGGGAATAAATGCAGCTTTTAATGAATACTTAAATGAAGTTTAACTCTAGAAGGATCTACAAGAAATTGGCAACCTTTGGCTTCAGTAACAGAAACTCAGGGTATATGCCCTTCAGTGCTTTTGGATTCCGCATCATATTGAGAGCGACTCCTTTAAACAAGCAATAAGAAACTTCCTGTGACAACATAATAAATTCAAAAAGTTCTGTAACTCAGACAATTTAGATAGAAGTGAGGACTTTGGCCTAGACAGCCCTGTTCACTCTAAAGATGGATTAAACAAGGAAAAAGATATTGATATCAAAAATTCAATCAGGAATTTGATTAAAGCATTTCATTAAATGTGATAATTTCTTAGCATATTATCTTACATATGCAATATTCATGTGTAACAAATTAAATACAAGTAAACATTTGAGCATATTATCTGCAGCATAATTTACATATCAATTTACATATTCAGTTTTGCTCACATGAAAACTTCGATATTCTCAATAAGAAAATTTGTGAAATCTTTAATTCCTCATCCCCAGGAATGTAAATAAGTAAATATAAATATTGTAAGTCAGTGATTTTTTCCTAGGAAGACAGTAAAATTACTTTACACGCTTTCTCATTGTAAACCTAAATAACAAACAGAGAAAGGTTCTCTAAAGGAAAAAGACACATCTTAGGGAGGAGGGCACTGCAATGGGAATATGCATGACAAAGCAAACTGTGTAGATTCAAATGGTAAAGGAAGACAAGGTCTTTAAAAGAAAAGCGATCAACCTGGAATTATGGGGGAGTAGAAAAAAATAAATAAAGGAAAAATGAACAGGCTTATATAATTGTTTTGTTATAGTTATCTTTGACTATAAAGATCAACAACAAGGTCGATGTCAGTTGAAGTTTGAGCAAGTGGTTGCTGGATAGATGTCCTCACAGAAGTGTATTTTGTGTAAGGTTGCTATGGCCTTTGTGCAAGGTTGTGGATTTTGCGGTATTTTGTGACAGTTTGTATCAGGCCTAGAAGCATGAGAACCCTCTCTTCAAGGCCTTCTCTGAATCTATTTGTTCAGGTTTTTTCTTTTCTTTTTAAAGATTACCGACAGTTTTGATTCTGATAACTTTTATATCATGATCCCTAATTTCAAAAAAAAAATTAAACGTGTAACTTATTTATGATGTATTTGATAGGCTTGGATTTATGAATCACCTCTACTATCTATAGTGGTAGATATATCTGAGCCTGCTTACACAGCACTTCCATCAGATTCTCTCTTCAGTGGAATGGAAGAGGGGGTTTCGGAGAAGGGGATGAAGGAATTGTGCTGCATCAGAGGTCCCCACCTAACAGCACAGGGCCTTTTTCTGTGCTCTTGCCAGGCCGTTGTATTGGCTGATGCAAAAGTAATTTTGGTTTTGTCATTGAAAGTAATGAGACCATCTGACTTACAATGTCTGTGCCGTAACCAACTCCTAATAGCCTCCTAGGACAGCTTTGCCCTGACATACACTGTCCTGGAACCACGTCTGCTTTGTAACTCCTGAGGTAGCTGCCACCATGACCAATGCCTTCTCATCTTTACTCTACATGCAGGTAACAGTTATAATTATATCTCTGTGTATTCACAGAACATTTAGTACATCTGGGACTTCTACAAAATTTCCCTAGCTGATTTTGGTGTTCTAGTGTCCTGGCAGCTCTAGCCATGAAGGGATGATGCTTTATCAGCATTTCTGTTGAGTTTTTTGCTTTTTCTCACAAACTGATTCCACTTTTCCCACATAAGTTTGACAATTCATTTGAACTCATTTATTCTAAACCCATTATTTTTTGTCTATTATTTAATAGGGTGGGGGGCAAGGGATAAAAGATAACAAATAAGGTGCAGTGTACACTGCTCGGGTGATGGGTGCACCCAAATCTCAAAAATAACCAGTAAAGAAGTTATTCATGGAACCAAATACCACCGTACCCCAATAACCTATGGGAAAAAAAATAAAAAATACAATAAAAAAGAGTCAGAAAAAAAGAAAATAATCACTGTACTTACCATGACACTTAGAAATGGTGGCTAGCATTATTTGTGTCACCTAATAATATTATTATTTTTTCTTTATGCTACAAACTAGCTCTGCTATTACAATCACTACTATTTGAAGTGTTACTAAATTAAATTAAATTTATTGTATCCTTCTGGACTCAGAAATGGGGGTAAATGCTAAGACAATTTCAGAATATTATCACATATTAAAAGCATATTATATGGGGAAAATGTGATTTTAAAAAAATAGAAATTGGTAGAGAAACAGTTTTTTTGTCTCTTTAATTTCTGCACATTTTGCAAGTATGGACGCTGACTTTCTTGTTCCAAATGATTGTTTTCAAGCATGTTTGTATAGAAAACAGCCTTGGAATAGAAAACCAGTACCTCCTTCTGGAACAAAGGAAAAGTTTATTTACTGTCTAGTATAATGCAGATAATTTCTCCCTCTTGGGAAGGGTACAGCCAAGTGAACTTCCCATAATACAAGTTGGGGTTTCTTGAGCTTGGTTTTTTCTTCCACAGTGTAATGTGCAGGTGCCACATGGCTCTCTTTGTGTTATCCTGGGAAAGCTGATGGCTGTAGGTGCATGTTTATTTTGGGGTTCTCTATTCTGTTTCATTGGTCTTTGTGTCTGTTTTCATATCGCTACCATGCTATTTTGTCTATTGTGGCCTTAGGGTATAGTATGAAGTCAAGTAATGTGATGTCTCCAGCTTTGTTCTTCTTGCTTAGGTTTCCTTTGGTTGTCTGGGCTCTTTAAAAATCCATATGAAATTTAGAATATATTTTTTTCTAATTCTGTGAAAAACGACATGGGTTGTTTCATAGGAATAGTGTTGAATGTGTAGATTGCTTTTGGCAGTATAGCCATTTTAACAATATTGATCTTTCTAATCCATGAGCATGGAATAGTTTTCCATTTGCTTTGTCATCTATGATTTTTTTCTGCAGTGTTTTGTAGTTCTCCTTTTAGATATCATTTACCTCCTTGCTTAGACATATTCTTCTTTTCTTTTCTTTTCTTTTGGGGGTTGCTGTTGTAAACAGGATTGCACTCTTGATTTACCTCTCAGTTTAAACATTTTTGGTGTACAGAAATGATACTTCTTTCTATATGTTGTTTTTTTTAATCCTGAAAGTTTGCTGAAGACTTTTTTTTATCAGTTCTAGGAGCCTTTTGGCACAGTCTTTAGGGATTTCTAGGTGTAGAATCATATCATCAGTGAAGAGAGATAATTTGACTTCATTTCTTATTTGGATGCCTTTTATCGCTTTCTCTTGCCTGATTGCTCTGGCTAGGACTTGTTAAACAGGAGTGGTGAGAACAGCCATCCCTATTTTATTCCTGTTCATAAGGGGAATGTGTTGGGAGAAAAGCTGAGTGTTGGAAGAGAAGCTGAGGCAGGGCCATATGTTTCTCATTCACTTGATACACCGTTTCCTTTCAACCCCTAAATCCTCACCACCTGTTTGTTTGAGCACCAACAAATAGCGTGGGCTCCCAGAGCTTGGGGACTTTGCAGACTCCACACTCGTGATGGTCTCCTGGTCCCACTTTCTCTCTCAAACTGTCCTTTTCTCATTCCTTTGACTCTGCCGGACTTCATCACCCCCATGACCTAGTGTTGGGTCTGATCACCCCAACATTCCTGGCGCCCAACATGGGGTGACAAAGACCCGGTGAAGGAAGGCTGGAGCATGTGAAAGCAGAGGACACAACATCAAAAGACACCCGAGGACATACAAAGATGGGGAATGAAATTTAGTACTTAGAATTTGTTATCACTCTTTAGTACAGTAAAGCAGTTTTGCCCATGGTTTCCAGAACAAAGGACTATGAAGTTGGATGAATGGGAGAGAATTGGAAGAGATTTTTTAAAAGGCATATAAAGATGGAGCAGAAATTCTAGTTTCTGTATGGTCAGTGTGGGCACTAATAAAGGCAGCCCTTGAGCCATTTCAAACAGATGATGAGGCAGACTCAGATGAGGAAGAGGAGGATGAGTGTAAAAAACTAACTTCAAATTCTGAGTGTGGGGAGCAGCTACCAGAGGAGATTAAAGAAAAGAAAGAAAAACTTTAAAAAGTATGTTTTACTAGCCCGTTGGCTCCACCTGCTGAATTAAGTGAATGGCCACCTCCTCTCTCTCCTCTAAATGGGTGAGAAAATAAATTAGCTGAAAAACTTACTGCTCCTGTAGTTACAACATTAAAACCTGGATCAATTGGTGGTGGTAGACAAAATTCTATTCAAAAAGCTAAAGCCAAGGGAGACCTTGAAGCATGGCAATTTCCCGTTACGATAATCCAGCAAGTAGGACAGAATATAGCTAATTAGGCTGCTTTCTCTTTTAAGTTACTAAAGAATTTAAGCAAGCCATTAGTCAATATGGATTGAACTCTCTTTTTTTGCAAACTTTATTTAAAAATATGGCTCTTGATAATGGATTACTACCATATAATAAGGATACTTTGACAAAACCTGTTCTCACTCCATCTCAGTACTTGCAGTTTAAAACTTGGTAGGCTGATGAAGATCAAACTCAGGCAAAAGAAAACACACAAGTGCAGCCACCTGTGCCTGTTTTCTTTGATCAGTTAATGTGAGTTGGCCCTAACTGGGGTTGATTAGAGAATCAAGCACTAATGGAAGATGTTGCCATTGTTCAGCTGTGCTTCATGTGCTTACATGCATAGAAAAGGATAAATGTTACAGGGGAAAAGTATCCTTATTTCAGTTCTGTCTGACAAGGACCTAAAGAACCATATATTAATTTTATTGCTCAGCTCCAAGAGGCTGTGTATAAAGCCGTAAATGATCAAAACAGCTCAGGATGTTGTAATACAGCTTCTTGCATACAATAATGCTAATGCAGAGTGTCAAACTGCTATTAGATCCCAGACAGAGAGGGCCCATTTAACTAAATATATTAAGGCTTGCGATGGCATTGGAGATAACTTACATAAGGTTATTCTTTTAGCTCAGGCTGTGGCTAGATTAAGAGTAAGAAAAAATATGCTTCATTTCTCAGGCTCTTGCCTTAATTGTGGGCAAATTGGACACAAGAAAGAAATGTAGAAAGGAATTCAAAAGACGAAAACTACTACCATCAATCAACAGAAAAGTCCCAATGTACGTCCCTGGTGTAAGAAAGGCAATCACTGGGCAAGTCCGTGTCATTCTAAATTTAGCAAAGATGGACAACCTCTTTCAGGAAATAGGAAGGGGGACCCGCCTCAAGCCCCTCAACAAACTGAGGCATACCCAGCACAGCCACTGCCCTTACAAATGTACAGCAATTGTCCCCCACCTCAGCAAGCAGTGCTGCTGTAGACCTCTACAGCACAATTCCCATCTCCTTACTTCCTGGGGAGCCATGAAAGAAGGTCCCCACAGGAGTTAGGGCACCCTTACCCTGAGGAACTGTTGGGAACAAGCCTCCCCAAATCCGGCCATAAACTGGCCCCAAAACTGGCCATAAACAAAATCTCTGCAGCACTGTGACATGTTCATGATGGCCATAACACCCACGCTGGAAGGTTGTGGGTTTACTGGAATGAGAACAAGGAATACCTGGCCCGTCCAGGGTGGAAATCCACTTAAAGGCATTCTTAAGCCACAAACAATAGCATGAGTGATCTGTGCCTTAAGAATAAGGGATACTTTTAGTTAATCTAATATCTATAGAAACAATGCTAATGACTGGCTTGCTGTTAATAAATACGTGGGTAAATCTCTGTTCAGGGCCCTGCTCTGAAGGCTGTAAGACACCCCCCCCCCCATTTTCCCACTTCACACCTCTATATTTCTGTGTGTGTCTTTAATTCCTCTAGTGCTGCTGGGTTAGGGTCTCTCCAACCGACCTGGTCTCAGCAAGTGGTGCCCATTAATGGGGGCTCAAATACAGGTCAAAGGATCGCTGGAGCAACGATTGGAGAATGTGGAACTAGCTGGAGGACACCCGAGTACTCTTAAAGCAATCCCCGTGGTGAGTAAGAAGGGGAGCTCGGAAGCATCAGGGTAGCAATAGGACAAGTGTGGGCTGTGGTTCGTTCTACCTTGGAACTTTTTCACACTGATGATGAGGAGGAAGGAGAGTATAACAAAGTAACAGTAGAGGTTACAGACCAGGTTTATTTGTCACCTAAAGCTAAAGCAGAAAAGGAGGGAGAGGTTCATCCCTATCCTTCTGCACACCCTCATTACTATTTTGAAGAAAACGACCCTCCAGATCTTTCTTTTCTGGAGGACACTGGGTGAAAAGTAGTTGCCCTGGTGACTGAGCAGCGCCTTGAGCGACTGTTCTTCGTTCTATTCAGGCAGGAATACAGCAAGCTAGACAAAAGTGGGATTTAGAGGCTTGGCAGTTCCCTGTTTGAATACACCCCCCAGATCAACAGGGAAATATTATAGCTACATTTGGGCCTTTTCCTTTTAAATCACTCAAAAAAATTAAACAAGCTATAAATCAGTATGGACCAGGTTCTCCTTTTGAAATGGGACTGTTAAAGAATGTTGCTGTTTCCAGTCGGATGATTCCTACTGACTGGGACACTTTTACTCTAGCTTGTCTAACTCCTGCTCAGTTCTTACAATTTAAAACTTAGTAGGCAGATGAAGCTTCCATTCAGGCTGCTCGCAATGCCTGGGCCCAACCTCAAATTAATATAACTGCAGACCAACTTTTGGGGGTTGGTGGCTGGGCTGGTTTACATGTACAAGTGGTCATGCAGGATGATGCCATAGAACAGCTTAGAGGAGTGTGCATTAGAGCTTGGAATAAATCACTTCATGTGGAGAACAATACCCTTCCTTTAGTGCTATAAAACAGGGAACAAGAGAACCATATGTGGATTTTATAGCTTGGTTACAGGAGTCTCTTGAAAAGATGATTGCAGATTTGGCTGCTTAGGATATAGTGTTGCAGTTATTGGTTTTGACAATGCTAATCCTTATTGCCAGGCTGCTCTGCGACCTATCAGAGGGAAAGCACATTTAGTTGATTATAACAAGGCCTGTGATGATATCAGAGATAATCTACATAAAGCTACTTTGTTGGCACAGGCGATGGCAGGACTGAGAGTGGATAAAGGAAATACTCTATTTCCTGGAGCTTGTTTTAACTGTGGGAAGCATGGTCATACTAAAAAGAATGTAAAAAAAAAAAAAAAATCACCGAGTCAGGCCACTAGATAGGGGAAAAAACAAAACTGCTGATCCTGAAATATGTCCAAAATGTAAAAAAGGAAAACTTTGGGCTAATCAGTGTCACTCTAAGTTTGATAAAGAAGGGAACCCGATTTTGGGAAACTCCCTGAGGGGCCCATCCCAGGCCCTGTTCTAAACCAGGGCATTTCCATCTCAGGCCATTCCCTCACCCCCATACGTTATCTTTCCCCACCACAGCCCATAGTGCTGCAGTAGATCCATGCTGCACAAAAGCTGTGAGCCTTCTGCCTGGGGAACCCCCGCAAAAGGTCCCAACAGGAGTCTGTGGACTGTTGCGAGCAGGGACAATGGGATTACTTTTAGGAAGGTCTAGTTTAAGTTTAAAAGGGGTACAAATACACACTGGAGTCATTGATTCAGATTACAATGAGGAAATTCAAATTGTGATATTTAGTTCTGTTCCCTGGAAAGCACAGCCAGGAGTGCGCATAGCACAGCTCCTGAGTGAGCCGTATGTGGGAATGGGAAAAAGTGAAATTAAATGAACTGGAGGATTTGGAAGCACAAATAAAAAAGGCAAGGCAGCTTATTGGGTAAATCAAATTACTGATAAACATCCTACCTGTGAAATAACTATCCAGGGAAAGAACTTTAAAGGTTTGGTAGATACTATTTTTTTTTTTTGGTAGGAGTGGACATTTCAATTATTTCTCTACAGCACTGGCTGTCCATGTGGCCAATTCAGCCCACTCAATTTAACACAGTGGAAACTGCTAAAGCTCCAGAAGTGTATCAGAGTAGCTATACTTTGCATTGTGAAGGGCCCAATGGACAACCTGGGACTGTTCAACCAATTGCAACTTCTGTACCTATAAATTTATGGGGGAGAGATTTATTATGACAATGGGGAGCACAAGTTCTAATTCCATAACAAGTATACAGCCCTCAAAGTCAACATATGATGCACGAAATGGGGCATGTCCCTGGTATAGGAGTAGAAAAAAAATTGCAAGGTTTGAAAGAACTGCTTCAAACGGAAAGACAAAGTTCCTGCCAAAGATTAGTATACCATTTTTGATGGTGGCCATAGTTAAGCCTCCAGAACCTATACCTTTAAAATGGTTAACAGATAAGCCAATTTGGATAGAATAATGGCTGCTAAGCAAAGGGAAACTGGATGCTTTAGAGAAATTAGTTACTGAACAATTAGAAAATGGGCACATAGCGCCAACATTTTCCCCTTGGAATTCTCCAGTTTTCATAATTAAGAAAAAATCAGGTAAATGGAGAATGTTAACTGACTTAAGAGCCATCAATTCAGTTATACAACCTATGGAAATATAACAGCCAGGATTCCCTTCTCTACTATAATTCCAAAAAATTGGCCTTTAATAGTCACAGATTTAAAAGACTGTTTCTTTACTACCCTTTTAGCTGAGCAAGACTGTGAACGGTTTGCATTTACAATTCCTGCAGTAAACAACCTGCAGCCTGCTAAGCTTTTTCATTGTTTCACAGATGGGTCTAGTAATGGTAAAGGTTCTTATTCTGGATCAAAAGCTAAAGTTTTCCAGACACCCTATACTTCAGCTCAAAAGGCGGAGCTTGTAGCTGTAATTGAGGTGTTGGCTGCTTTTGATATGCCTGTTAATGTGATTTCTGATTCTTCATACATGGGTCATTCCACACAGTTAATTGAAAATGCTCAGTTAAGATTTCATACAGACGAACAACTGATAATAAAAACAAAAAAGGGGGAGAAACAGGGATTACGGGATAGCCCATACACAATTGAATCTTGCATTATTAACTTTCAAATTTTTGAGCCTGCCCAAAGGCCAGATGTTACCAGCAGCTGAACAGCATCTACAGAAACCAGCTGCAAAGACAGAAGCAGAACAACTGGTTTGGTGGAGAGATCCAATAACAAAAAGTTGGGAAATAGGTAAAATTATAACTTGGCATAGAGGTTATGCTTGTGTTTCTCCAGGACCGAATCAACAACTGATTTAGATACCATCAAGACACCTGAAATTTTATCATGAGCCAGATGCTGAGGAAGAGAGAAAAAGCACAATCATCATTGAAATTAGAGCTTCTGGCTGGGCGCGGTGGCTCACGCCTGTAATCCCAGCACTCTGGAAGGCCGAGGTGGGCGGATCACAAGGTCAGGAGATAGAGACCATCCTGGCTAACACGGCAAAACCCCGCCTCTACTAAAAATACAAAAAATTAGCTGGGTGAGGTGGCGGGCGCCTATAGTCCCAGCTACTCAGGAGGCTGAGGCAGGAGAATGGCGTGAACCCAGGAGGCAAAACTTCAGGTTTTGCCAAGAATGACACTGTAAATGTAACAAAGCTTCTGTGCTTGTTAGTGAACAACAAATCAGCTACTCTCCTGTATTCGGAGATCAGGATGAAATGAAAAGAACAAGCAGGCTGGGCACTGTGGCTCATGCCTGTAATGTCAACACTTTGGGAGGCTTAGGTGTGCGGATCATCCGAGGTTGGGAGTTCGAGACCAGCCTGACCAACATGGAGAAACCCTGTCTCTACTAAAAATGCAAAATGAGCTGGGCGTGGTGGCACAAGCCTGTAATCCCAGCTTGGGAGGCTGAGGCAGGATAAGTGCTTAAACCTGAGAGGCGGAGGTTGCGGTGAGGCAATATTGCAAAATTGCACTCCAGCCTGGGCAACAAGAGTGAAACTCCATCTCAAAAAAATAAAAAATAAAAAAAGACCCCCAACCTTGTCTAGACTGTGGGGTTTCAGTTTCACCCCAGGGGGGTCCTGGTTGGGTTAGAACCCTGAATCTGGTTTGAGTTCGTATCCTAAAGAATAAAGGGAATAAAGGCTGTAGCCACTAAGCTACTCAATCTGGTCCGGTTCTGGCTTTTGTGTGTCTGTCTGTATTTTTGGTCTAAATATTTGGCCCAACAGAGGTTAAAGGCTTTGATGTTCTCAGCAAAAGCCTTGAGATCTCTAGTTTATCTGTGTGCTCAACTGGAACAAAGAGACTCCATAAACTAGAAAAACCTAAAGAAAATGGCACGCGTGAAAAAATGAGAGCCAACTCCTGTTTGTTGTTCTGTCCACCTCCCTCTCTCACTCCTCCTTCTGCCTTTGCTGTGGTCCCATGGTGTTTCTGTCTTTCTGGGGACCTGAGATTCAGTGTAGGAGTGAAGTCCATGATTTTAAAGCCTTCATGTCTCTGCTTTTTAACTCTGCCTGCTTTGCTGAGCTCTTATAATGAGAAATAAACCATTCAGAACAGAAACAACAGGGCATCAGAAAACCAACTTCAGGCAGCGCTCCGGCAAGTACCTCCCTAGAGGGGAAGGGCCTACTAAAGGAGATTTAATCTTGAAAAGGCCAAAATGAGAAGCTCTAACCTTAAGCTTGCTAGGTTTTCTAGGACTCGAGCTGGCTATATATTATGGACCATTCTAGCCACACACATACACACACACACACACACACACACACACACACACACACATTTTTTTGAGACAGAGTCTTGGTCTGTTGCCCATGCTGGAGTGCAGTGGTGTGATCTTGGCTCACTGCAACCTCCACTTCCCAGGTTTGAGCAATTCTCCTGTCTCAGCCTCCTGAGTAGCTGCGATTACAGGTGTGTGCCACCATACCCGGCTAATTTTTGTGGTTTTAGTAGAGATGAAGTTTCACCATGTTGGCCAGGCTGGTCTCAAACTCCTGATCTCAAGTGATCCACCCGCCTTGGCCTCCCAAACTGCTGGGATTACAGGCATGAGCCACTGTGCCCAGCCTATACATATATATATACTTTTTTTTCCTTTTTCTTTTTGACACAGAGTCTTGCTCTGTTGCCCAGGATGGAGCATGGTGGTACAATCGCGGCTCACTGCAACCTCCGCCTCCCAGGTTTGAGCAATTATCCTGCCTCAGCCTCCTGAATAGCTGGGACTACAGGTGCACACTACCACACCCAGTTAATTTTTGTATATTCAGTAGAGATGGGGTTTTGTCACATTGGCCAGGCTGGTCTCAAACTCCTGGCCTCAAGTGATCCACCTGCCTCAGCCTCCGATAGTGTTGGGATTACACGCATGAGCCACTGCACCTGACCTCTAGTGCACACTTTAAACCTGATGGCCAAATTACATGAAAGAAAATTCAGAACTCAAATAGTTACTATTTTTAAAAACCCTAAAGTGAAAAAGTCTCAGTTCTTTTGCCTATCTATTTTTTTTTCCCTGCCTACTTTGAATCTGCTGATTTGTCTACTGGTGTTGAGATAAGACTTACTGTCTGTGGTGTTACTAATTCAAGGTCACTTGGCTGAAGAAAAACAAAAGAATGAAACAATTCTTTATTTTTTTCTCTTTTTGAGACAAGGTCTCACTCTAAGGTCTCACTCTGTTCCCCAGACTGGAGTGCAGTAGTGGGATCATAGCTCACTGTTATCTCAACCTCCCAGGCTCAAGCAATCCTCCTGCCTCATCCTCTCTAGTAGCTGGGACAATAGGCATGCACCACCATGCCTGGCAATTTTTTATCTTATTCTTAGTAGAGATTGGGTCTCACTATGTTGCCCAGGCTGGTCTCAAACTCCTGAGCTCAAGTGATCCTCTTGCCTCAGCCTCTCAAAGTGCTGGGATACAGGCATGAACCACTGTGCCCAGACAAAAGAGTTCTTTTATAAATACAAATAATTTAAAAAGTATTGATAAAATAAAAATAGAAAATAGAAATCTCTTCAGACTTGTCAGCATACGTTTTTGACTGTGTTTTATATTTACATTTGCTAGATATTTTAAGGTGCTAGGGTTTGGCATGAAGGTTATAAAGCTATAAACACAGGAAAAAAGAATATTTGTTTATGTGATTTTTTAAATACATAAGACCAATTTAATATGTTTTGTTGAACAAAAATAATGGAATTTTCTGAGTTATTGGTAAAATACCCATGTATTTAACTTTGAAGTCCTCACTTACGTGAACTCCTGATATTCACAGGCTATAACATGGTTAACAAGAAAATAACCTAGAAATGATGACTAGCTTTGTCTAATACCTCAGTTCTCACAAATACTCTAGATAAACTGTCAAAAATAAGTAAATGTAAATGGATAAATGTCTATACAAGACATCTTAATGTATTTTTGAAATTTTTTTGAGACAGTGTCTCTGTCTGTCACCCAGGCTGAAGTGCAGTGGCATGATCACAGCTCACTGCAACCTTGACCTTCTGCTCTCAAGGGATCCACCCACCTCAGCCTCCCATGTAGCTGTTAATTACAGGCATACACCACCATGGTCAGCTAACTTTTATTTTTTTTGTAGAGTCAGCATCTCACTATTTTGCTCAGGCTGGTTTCATGATACTCCTGCCTAGGCCTCCTAAAGTGTTGGGATTACAGGTGTGAGCCACCATGCCCAGCCTATTTTTGAAATTTTAGTTATGTTAAATTAAATAATAGATACTCATTAAATATCTGGGTTATTTCCAATTTAAAACTTATGTTTTAGCCCAGGCACTGTGGCTCACGCCTGTAATCCCTGCACTTTGGGAGGCCAAGGCCGGTGGCTCACCCGAGGTCAGGAGCTCAAGACCAGCCTGATCAACATGGTGAAACCCCATCTCTACTAAAAAATACAAAAAATTAGCCAGGTGTGGTGGTGGGTTCCTGTAATCCCAGCTACTCGGGAGGCTGAGGCAGGAGAATTACTTGAACCTGGGGGGCGGAGATTGCAGTGAGCTGAGATCACACCATTGCACTCCAGCCTGGGCAACAAGAGCGAAAATCCATCTTAAAAAATATGTTTTAGGAACACATAATTCTAAATTATGAAATTATTCTCATATGTAAGATACTGCTATATGACAATTCCAGATTTCTTGCTTCCTAGGTTTTTTATTAAAATAAGGGTTACTAAGTGTTAATATCTTGCTAGATATGTGTGATTAAGACTACTAGATACAAGAGAAACAATTCTGTATGCAAAATGTATACCGGTTTTTGTTTCAGAGAAAGTAAATTCACTTAGAGATTTTTAAGGATTATTTTAAATTGAAGGAATAAAAAAGATAGATAAAACTACATGTGTGTAAAAAGTTGGGAAAGATGAAAAAATTATACAAGGTTATTAAAAGTTTATGTAAATCTTACATCGAGGCCAAAACTGATTGAGATCAGATAGATTGTTTATAAAGTTTATTTAAATTAGCTATAATATTAAAAACAGTGATAAAAAACTAAAAATTTTGGTTAAAACAACAAGGTTTTCTTAATGTATTTATTTGCTCATAATAAGAGGTAATAAATATTGACTTTTAATCCTGAAATCTGTTACTATAAAAACTTTTCAGATTTGTATATCAGAAGTTCAACTTTTCCTGTACTTTCATGTTACACATGACTCACAGATCACATCACTGTCTCCTGTTCCTTCTTGAGAAGGAATAAAAGGCTTGGGTTTCCTGCTTGGCTGGGATGATAACTCCTTCAGCTTTTTCATCAGGTCTTATTTTATACTATTGGCTTTTAAATATGTCTTAATTACTTCATGTAACCAGGAAACTTTCTTGCTATCATTGTGAGCTATGGATCCCCACTGCTCTATGCTCTGGTTTTCCTGTTGACATTCCTTTGTAATATTATGCTCACTCATGACCCTGGACACACTCTTTCTATGTCTAATTAAATTCAAGTCTCCTTGTCATCGGAATTGACTTCCAAGTGATTTAAATTAGCTTCCCGTAAGAAGACACAGTTATGCCACAGGAGTTTTACCCTTTAAATGACTGGCCTGTAATAAAGATTTTAGGTTTTATCAAGATAATCCATGTGTTGCCTTTATTTTTTTTTAATTACTTGGGAAAACTGAGGGTTTTCAGTTATCACATCCATGTAACCTTCTACGTTGCTTTTGATGTCTTTTGGTTGTCATTCTAATTAAATGAATGACTGTTATTTAAAAATGACATGTGTCTGTGTGCAGCGGCTCATGTCTGTAATTCCGGCCCTTTGGGAGGCCAAGGTGTGTGGATCACTTGAGCCCAGGAGTTCAAGTCCAGCCTGGGCAAAATGGCAAAATCACATCTCTACTGAAAATACAAAAGCTAGCTATGTGTCGTAACAAGTGCTCATAGTCCTGGCTACTTGGGATACTAAGGTGGAGGATCACCTGAGCCTGGGAAGTTGAGGCTGCAGTGAGCCATGATTTCACCACTGCACTCCAGCCTGGGCAACAGGGTGAGACCCTGTCTCAAAAAAATAATAAAATAAAAAACAATAAACTGTCATTCTGTTTTGGTCAAGTGTTTTCAATTTTTTGACATCTTTGCTAAATCTTAGTTGATAACATTGTATGGGAAGCATTGCCAAAAGATAAGTAACACTAAATCTTTTTTTTTTCTCCGAGACAGAATCTTGCTTTGTCACCCAGGCTGGAGTGCAGTGGCGTGATCTAGGTCCATTGCAACCTCTGCCCCAAGGTTCAAGCGATTCTCCTGCCTCAACCTCCCAAGTAGCTGAGACTACAGACACATGCCACCACGCCCGGCTAATTTTGTATTTTTAGTAGAGACAAGATTTCTCCATGTTGGCCAGGCTGGTGTCAAACTCCTGACCTCTGATGATCTATCCAACTTGGTCTCCCAAAGTGTTGGGATTACAGACATGAGCCACTGTGCCTGGCCTAAATCTTCTTTTGGTTACATTTATAGGTATATTATTAATATAAATATTTTAAATGTTATATAAATTATAAAAATCTAATATGGTATCAGTCATAATTTTGATGATGTTAAATATTCTCTAAAGTTGTATATGTATAGATATATTATTAATATAAATATTCTAAAGATTATATAAAATTTGTGGATGTCTGATGGATCTGATGTGTTGCCGTCAGTCATGATTCTGGCTGTTATCTTAAAATGCTACATATAATAGAAATAACTAAATTTTCTCGCAGGTCGAGAACTTCCACTGGATTTTAACCAAAGGATATTCTAAGTTTTTGTCATCCACGTTGATTGTTTAAAGTTCTTCTCTAAAACCCTTTACAGGCCGGGCGTGCTGCTGGAGGCTGTGCAGGGCACAGTGCTGGGCGTGGTGCAGGGCACGGTGGCTCACACGTGTAAAAATCCCAGCACTTTGCAAGGCCGAGGTGGGTGAATTGCTTGAACTCAGAAGTTTGAAAGCATCCTGGGCAACATGGTAAAACCCTGTCTCTACAAAAATACAAAAATTAGCCAGCATGATGGTGCATGCCTATGGTCCCAACTACTTCGGAGGCTGAGGTAGGAGGATGGCTTGAGTTTGGGAGGGAAAAATTGTGGTGAGCCAAGATCATGCCACTGCACTCCATCCTGAGTGATAGAACCAGACCATGTCTCAAAAAAAAAAGCCTTTACAATCAGCTATCATCTAAATTACTTTTAATGGAAAGGACTCTGACAAGTTCTCTTAAATATGGTTTCAGATAACTTTGGGGATCATACCATTGGACTAGGAAAATCTTCCAGGACTCTAAAAAGCTGAATGAGGATTTCCAATTGAAATCAAGCAAAACACAAAAAACTGAATGAGAATTGCTATTTGAAATCAAGCAGAACAAGATTTAGTTACATTGGACTGAACTTATAAAAGAAGGAAAAGATTTTATTCATGGCCCTTCCATTGGAAACATTGTTGATTCTCTTTATGTTTTGTTTTCCAAAGTCAAGAATTTTTTTTCTTTTCAGCTATTTTTAACTTGCCCTACGTTAGAAAAACTACATTGTGAACAAAAATTTGAGCGATTTATCTGTCTCTCTCACTGATTTCTCCAGAATTCAGAAGCCATTCGTGAGCATTCCTAAATTATGGCAATATAATTATTTGCATAATTTCAATAAGAATCTGTTTTTGGTAACAGGATTCAATTGGAGACACTGTTTGTTTTATCAAGGCTTTAACTCGAACGGCAGATACAACCAGACCACTTTAAGGAATTGAGCTTGACTTTATAGCACCAATGCAAAGCCCCTTAGAATGACTGGCTTGGTGTCTTGTCTACAAGGGTCCTTTACAAAGTTGCTGTCCTTGTGGTAAGAAGTAAAGAATGTCATTTTCTGACGGGCCCAGGAACCTCAAGTTATTTGGGGACCTTGAGAAGATAGGACTACACCCATTCATAAAAGTATTACAGGAGAGCTGGCAAGATGTCTGAATAGGAACAGCTCCGGTCTGCAACACCCAGTGGGATCAACACAGAAGGCAGGTGGTTCATGCATTTCCAACTGAGCCTCCACTGGTGATACCCAGGCAAACAGGGTCTGGAGTGGACCTCCAGCAAACTCGAGCAAACCTGCAGCAGAGGGACCTGACTGGTAGAAGGAAAACTAACAAACATAAAGGAATAGTATCAACATCACCAACATCAAAGTCCAAAGGTAGATAAATCCACAAAGATGGGGAGAAACCAGTGCAAAAAGGCTGAAAACTCCAAAAACCAGAATGCCTCTTCTCCTCCAGAAGATCACAACTCCTCACCAGCAAGAGAACAAAACTGGACAGACAATGAGTTTGATGGATTGACAGAAGTAGGCTTCAGAAGGCGGGTAATAACAAACTCCTCCAAGCTAAAGGAGCGTGTTCTAACCCAATGCAAGGAAGCTAAGAGCCTGAAAAAAAAGGTAGGACGAATTGTTAACTAGAATAACCAGTTTAGAGAAGAATATAAATGACCTGATGGAGCTGAAAAACCCAGCACAAGAACTTCATGAAGCATACACAAGTATCAATAGCTGAATCAATCAAGCAGGAGAAAGAATATCAGAGATTGAAGATCAACTCAATGAAATAAAGCAAGAAGAAAAGATTCGAGAAAAAAGAGTGAAAGAAATGAACAAAGCCTCCAAGAAATAGAGGAATATGTTAAAACACTGAATCTATGTTTGATTCGTGTACATGAAAGTGACAGAGAGAATGGAACCAAGTTGGAAAACACTCTCAAGGATATTATCCAGGAGAACTTCCCCAACCTAGCAAGACAGGCCAACATTCAAATTCAGGAAATACAGAGAACACCACTAAGATATTCCTCAAGAAGAGCAACCCCAAGACACAAAATCATCAGATTCACCAAGGTTGAAATGAAGGAAAAAATATAAAGGGCAGCCAGAGAGAAAGGTTGAGTTACCCACAAAGGGAAGCCCATCAGACTAACAGTGGATCTCTTGGCAGAAAGCCTACAAGCCAGAAGAGAGTGGGGGCCAATATACAACATTCCTAAAGAAAAGAATTTTCAAGCCAGAATTTCATATCCAGGCAAACTAAGCTTCATAATTGAAGTAGAAATAAAATCCTTTACAAGCAAATGCTGAGAGATATTGTCACCACCAGGCCTGCTTTACAAGAACTCCTGAAGGAAGCACTAAACGTGGAAAGGAACAACTGGTAACAGCCACTGCAAAAACATAACAAATTATAAAGACCATTGACACTATGAAAAATCTGCATCAACTAATGAGCAAAATAACCAGCTAGTATCATAATGACAGGATCAAATTCATACATAACAATATTAACCTTAAATGTAAATGAGCTAAATGCCCCCAATTGAAAGACACAAACTGGCAAATTGGATAAAGAGTCAAGACTCATCAATGTGCTGTACTCAGGAGACCAATCTCATACACATAGGCTCAAAATAAAGGGATGGAGGAACATTTACCAAGCAAGTGGAAAGCAACAAAAGGCAGGGGTTGCAATCCTAGTTTCTGATAAAACAGATCTTAAGCCAACAGAGATCAAAAGAGACAAAGAAGGGCACTACATAATGGTAAAGGGATCAATGCAACAAGAAGAGCTAACTATCCTAGAGATATATGCACCCAATACAGGAGCACTCAGATTCATAAAGCAAGTTCTTAAAGACCTACAAAGAGACTTAGACTCCCACACAATAATAGTGGGAGACTTTAACACTCCACTGTCAATATTAGATCAATGAGACAGAAAATTAACAAGAATATCCAGGACTTGAACTCAGTTCTGGACCAAGTGGACCTAAAAGATATCTACAGAACTCTCCATCCCAAATCAATAGAATATACCTTCTTCTCAGCACCACATTGCACTTATTCTAAAATTGACCACATAATTGGAAGTAACACTCTCCTCAGGAAATGCAAAAGAATGGAAATCATAACAAACAGTCTCTCAGACCACAATGCATTCAAATTAGTATGCAGGATTAAGAAACTCACTCAAAACCTCACAACTACATGGAAACTGGGTAACCTGATCCTGAATGACTACTGGGTAAATAAAGAATTGAAGGCAGAAATAAAAATGTTCTTCGAAACCAATGAGAACAAAGACACAACGTCCCAGAATCTCTGGGACACATTTAAAGCAGTGTGTAGAGGGAAATTTATAGCACTAAATGTCCACAAGAGAAAGCAGGAAAGATCTAAAATTGACACCTTAACATGAAAATTAAAAGAACTAGAGAAGCAAGAACAAACAAATTCAAAAGCTAGCAGAAGACAAGACACAAATAAGATCAGAGCAGAATTGAAGGAGATAGAGACACGAAAAACCCTTCAAAAAATCAATGAATCCAGGAGCTGGTTTTTTGAAAAGATCAACAAATCAGACCACTAGCCAGACTAATAAAGAAGAAAAGAGAGAAGAATCAAATAGATGCAATAAAACATGATTAAGGGGATATCACCACTGATCCCACAGAAATACATATTATCATCAGAGAATACTACCAAGACTAAACCAGGAAGAAGTGAAATTCCTGAATAAACCAATAACAAGTTCTGAAATTGAGGCATTAATTATAGCCTACCAACCAAAAAAATTCCAGGACCAGATGGATTCACAGCCGAATTCTACTAGAGGTACAAAGAGGAGCTGGTACCATTCCTTCTGAAACTATTCCAAACAATAGAAAAAGAGAGAATCCTCCCTAATTCATTTTATGAGGTCAGCATCACCTTGATACCAAAACCTCGCAGGGACACAACAAAAAAAGAAAACTTTAGACCAATATCCCTGATGAACATTGATGCAGAAATCCTGAATAAAATACTGGAAAACTGAATCCAGCAGCACATCAAAAAGCTTGTCCACCATGATCAAGTCGGCTTCACCCCTGGGATGCAAGGGTGGTTCAACATATGCAAATCAATAAATGTAATCCATCACATAAAGGGAACCAATGACAAAAACTGCATGATTATCTCAATAGATGCAGAAAGAGCCTTTGACAAAATTCAACAACCTTTCATGCTAAAAACTCTCAATAAACTGGTATTGATGGAAAGTATCTCAAAATAATAAGTGCTATTTATGACAAACCCACAGCCAGTAACATACTGAATGTGCAAAAACTGGAAGCATTCCCTTTGAAAATCAGCACAAGACAAGGATACCCTCTCTCACTACTCCTATTCAACATAGTATTGGAAGTTCTGGCCAGGGCAATCAGGCAAGAGAAAGAAATAAAGGGTATTCAATTAGGAAAAGAGGAAGTCAAATGGTCTCTGTTTGCAGATGACATGATTGTATATTTAGAAAACCCCATCATCTCAGCCCAAAATCTCCTTAAGCTGATAAGCAACTTCAGCAAAGTTTCAGGATACAAAATCAATGTGCAAAAATCACAAGCATTCCTATACATCAATAACAGACAAACAGAGAGCCAAGCTGTGAGTGAACTCCCATTCACCATTGCTATAAAAAGAATGAGATACCTAGGAATACAACTTACAAGGATGTGAAGGACCTCTTCAAGGAGAACTACAAACCACTCCTCAAGGAAATAAGAGAGGACACAAACAAATGGAAAATCATTCCATGCTCATAGATAAGAAGAATCAGTATCGTGAAAGTGACCTACTGCCCAAAGTAATTTATAGATTCACTGCTATCCCCATGAAACTGCCATTGACTTTCTCCACGGAATTGGAAAAATGTACTTTAAATTTCATATGGAATCAAAAAAGAGCCCGAATAGCCAAGACAATCCTAACCAAAAAGAACAAAGCTGGAAGCATCATGCCACCTGACTTCAAACTATACTACAAGCTATGGTAACCAAAACAGCATGGTACTGGTACGAAAACAGATATATAGATCAAAGGAACAGAACAGAGGCCTCAGAAATAGCACCACACATCTACAACCATCTGATCTTTGACAAACCTGAGAAAAACGAGCACTGGGGAAAGGATTCCCTATTTAATAAATGATGTTGGGAAAACTAGCTAGCCATAGGCAGAAAGCTGAAACTGGATCCCTTCCTTACACCTTATACAAAAATTAACTCAAGATGGGTTAAAGACTTAAACATAAGACCTAAAGCCATAAAAACCGTAGAGGAAAACCTAGGCAATACCATTCAGGACATAGGCATGGGCAAAGACTTCATGACTAAAACACCAAAAACAAAGGCAACAAAAGCCAAAATTGACAAATGGGACCTAATTAAACTAAAGAGTTTCTGGACAGCAAAAGAAACTATCAGAGTGAACGGGCAACCTACAAAATGGGAGAAAATTTTTGCAGTCTATCCATCTGACAAAGGGCTAATATCCAGAATCTACAAAGAACTTAAACAAATTTGCAAGATAAAACAACCCCATTGAAAAGTGGGCAAAGGATGTGAACAGACACTTCTCAAAAGAGGACAATTATGCAACCAACAAACTTATAAAAAAGCTCATCATCACTAGTCATTAGAGAAATGCAAATCAAAACCACAATGAGATACCATCTCATGCCAGTTAGAATGGCGAAAATTAAAAAGTCAGGAAACAACAAATACTGGAGAGAGTGTGGAGAAATAGGAAGGCTTTTACACTGTTGGTGGGAGTGTAAATTAGTTCAACCATTGTGGAAGACAGTGTGGCTATTCCTCAAGGATCTAGAACTAGAAATACCGTTTGGCCCAGCAATCCCATTACTGGGTATATACCCAAAGGATTATAAATCATTCTACTATAAAGACACATGCACATGTATGTTTATTGCAGGACTGTTCACAATAACAAAGACTTGAAACCAACCCAAATGCCCATCAATGATAGATTGAATAAAGAAAATGTGGCACATATACACCATGGAATACTATGCAGCCATAAAAAACGATGAGTTCATGTCCTTTGCAGGGACATGGAAGAAGCTGGAAACCATCATTCTCAGCAAACTAACACAAGAACAGAAAACCAAACACCACATGTTCTCACTCATAAGTGGGAGTTGAACAATGAGAACACATGGACACAGGGAGGGGAACATCACACACTGGGGCCTGTTGGGGGGTGGGGGCAGGGAGAGGGATAGCATTAGGAGAAATGCCTAATATAGGTGATGGGTTGATGGGTGCAGCAAACCACTGCAGAATATATATACCTATGTAACAAACCTGCACGTTCTGCACATGTACCCCAGAACTTAAAGTATAATTCTAAAAAGTAGGTTAAAAAATTATTACAGACACAGTCTGATGCAAATCTTTGACTTGGCTAGCTTCAAGGCTCTTAAAAGATTCCTTATTAAAAATTTCCAACAAGGCCAATTTTAAGAAGCCTATATGGCCAATAAATATTCTTGCTGCCCTTTATGGAAATAATCAGGCCCGGTATGATAAGACTAAAACTTATTTTGCATACAAAATTGGTCCTACTATGATTTGTCTTTGATAAAATGATGGACTAGAGAGAAAATTTATGTTCCAAAAGAAAACTATGACATATGCTATTAGATTCCAACCCTGATCATTGTTTTAGAGTTTTTATTATTTGCCTATAATTTGGGCTGAATCCTGAATTATTTCCTGGCTCCAAGTGTTCCCTAGTGAATCTGAATATAATATATTTTTTAAAACTTGTTTTATCCTGTCAGGAATGAGATGTATTTTTGAAGGACTACTTAAACTAGCAATTACAATTCGATTATTATGATTATAGAATCTCGGGATTTCTCTTCCTTCTTGTCAAGGTCTTTACCTGATGTTTGTCTCATTAAAAAAAAAATGAGACTGATTACACTCTACTCAAGACTGAAGACATGTACTTTAACCTGTCTCTGTTACCAGTAAACCAAAGCCTTAACTTTCAGAGTCTGTCAGGGACCCTGTGTGGTCCCTGGATCAACCACCCATGGGCTTATGAATGTGTTGACCGCTGGCATATGAGAAGTAATTGTCTATTAGTTTATGTGACTTTTCCTCTTTCTATTTATAACTCCAATGTTTCTGAACACTGAAGTAGTTCATCGAAATTACTTTACAGGATTAGACAAACCATACCTGCAAACCAAGGAGGTGAATTTTGGCCAATGTTTGGCAGAAGTCACTTGCAATGGTGGGGAGTAACCTCTCATGAACGTATAATTAGAAATCTGTCAACCACTCTAGGTAAATTAGCGAATGAACTAGCTGAAGCCATAGCTACCAAACAAAGATCTTTAGACGCTTTAGCCAGGATAGTCATCGATGACGGAATAACTTTAGGCTGCATAGTGGTGAAACAGGGAGAAACTTATATGGCAGCTAGCTAACACATCATGTTGTGTTTAGATCCATACATCTTCTGAAGTTGAAACACATGTAAAAAAATAAGACGATATGAGAATTAATTATGACAAATCCTAGGGAAGAGGCTGAAAGAGCTGTAACACAAACAGGGCTGAGTCATGCCCCTTGCTTCCCACATTGTGGGCAAAGAGAAGGAAACAAGAGCTGTGACCCTTTGGGAAGCCCAGACCTGGGAGCTCCCCGAGCCAGGGCTGTGATTCCCTCTTTGGGGCCCTGTGGTTCCTGGTATCTCCAAGCTTCCGGGTGCCACTGTGTTCCCAGTGTGCCAGCTGCGGAAGCTGCTTGCGGTGCCCGTGGTCCAGCCACAGACTTGTGGAGAGCTGGCACCCATGTTGGCACCTGGAGCTACCTGCCCCACTGCAGCAGCCAGGAAGTCTGACTGCACAGTGGCCAGACCCCATGCTTGCTCACACACCCCTTGCCACTCCACGCAGTCTCCCTTGGCAAACATGGGATCCAACCTGGTAGCATGAGCTGAGCACAGCCTGCCAGGCTGAGTGGGCGGGGCCCAAGCAAAACTCAGGTAAAGGTGCCACCAGCCATAGAGGTTTCTGTCCAGAAAAGTGACACTCCAAAGATCCCGTAACACCGCTACTCTTCCCAGCCTCTGGAAACTCTCAGTCTACTCTCCATCTTGATGAGTTCAATTGTTTTAATTTTTAGCTCCCACAAATGTGTGAGAACATGCAAAGTCTTTCTGTGCCTGGCTCATTGTACTTAACATAATGTTCCCTAGTTCCATCCACGTTGTTGCAAGTGACAGAATCTTATTCTTTTTCATGGCTGAAGAGTACTCCATTGTGTACATGTACTACATTTTCTTTATCCCTTCATCTGTTGATGCACACTTAGGTTGCTTCCAAATCTTGGCTATTATGAATAGTGCTGAAATAAATATGGGAATGCAGATATCTCGTTCATATACTAATTTTCCCTCCCTTGGGTATATACCCAGCAGTGGGATTGCTGTATCATATGATAGTTCTATTTTTAATTTTTTGAGGGACCTCCATATTGTTCTCCATAGTGAATGTACTAATTTACATTCCCACCAACAGAGTAAGAGGGCTCTCTTTTCCCTACATTCTTGCAAGCATTTGTTATTGCCTGTCTTTTGCATAAAAGCCATTTTAATGGGGGTAAGATGATATCTTATTGTAGTTTTGATTTGAATTTCTCTGATGATCAGTGATATTGAGCATCTTTTCATATACCTATTTGACATTTATATATCTTCTTTTTTGTTTTTGCTCATTTTTTGAGACAGTGTCTCACTCTGTCACCCAGGCTGGAGTGCAGTGGTATAATGATGGCTTACTGTAGTTATGACTACCAGGGTTCAAGCAATCCTCCCACCTCAGCCTCCTGAGTAGCTGGGACCACAGGCATGCATCACCATGCCCAGGTAGGTTTTAAAATTATTTGCTATGTTTTTCAGGTTGGTCTTGAACTCCTGGGCTCAAGTGGTCCAACTGTCTTGGCTCCCCAAAATGCTGGAATTACAGGTGTGAGCCACTGCACCTGACCTGCATGCCTTCTTTTGAGAAATGTCTGTTCAGATTTTTTGCCCATTTAAATAATTGGATTATTAGTTTTTTTCTTATAGAGTTGTTTGAACTCCTTATATATTCTGGTTATTAATCCCTTGTCAGATATATAGTTTGCAAATATTTTCTTCCATTCTGTGGATTGTCTTTTCACTTTGTCCATTGTTTTCTTTACTATGCAGAAACTTTTGAACTTCATGTGATACCATTTGTTCATTTTTGCTTTGGTTGCCTGAGCTTTTGGAGTAATTACTCAAGAAATCTGTGCCCAGACCAATTTCCTGGAGAGTTTCCCTAATGTTTTCTTTCAGTAGTTTCTTGTCCTTGATTTAAGTCTTTAACCCATTTGGATTGGATTTTTGTATATAGCACAAGAGAGAGTTCTAGTTTAATTATTCTGCCAATGACTTTGGGAGGCTGAGGTGGGCAGATCATGAGGGCAGGATATCAAGAACATCCTGGCTAACACGGTGAAACTCCGTCTCTACTAAAAATACAAAAAAAAAATAGCTGGGCATGGTGGGGGCACTTGTACTCCCAGCTACTTGGGAGGCTGAGGAGGAGAATGGTGTGAACCCGGGAGGTGGAACTTGCAGTGAGCCCAGATCGTGCCACTGCACTGCAGCCAGAGCAACAGAGTTAGACTCCATCTCAAAAAAAAAAAAATTCTGCCAATGAATATCTAGTTTTCCCAGCACAATTTGGTGAAGAGACTGTCCTCTCCCCCATGTATATTCTTGGCACCTTCATTGAAAATGAGTTAGTTGTAAATGTAAGGATTTATTTCTGGGTTCTCTATTCTGTTCCATTGGTCTATGTGTCTGTTTTATGCCAGTATCATGCTGTTTAGCTTACAATTGCTCTGTAGTATAATTTAACGTCAGGTGATGTGATTCTTCCAGTTTTGTTCTTTTTGCTATGGATGGCTTTGGGTATTCTGGGTCTTTTATGATTTCATATAAATTTTAGGATTTTTTTTCTGTTTCTGTGAAGAATGTTATTAGTATTTCAATAGGGATTGCATTGGGTCTGTAGATTGCTTTGTGAAGTATGTGTATTTTAACAATATTTACTCTTCCAATCAATGAACATGGACTATCTTTCAATTTTTTTTTTTTTTTTTGGTGTCTTCTTTAATTTTTTTGCATTGGTGTTCTATAGTTTTCATCGTAGAGATCTTTCACTTCTTTTGTTACATTTATTCCTAGATATTTTATTTTATTTGTAGCTATTGTAAATGGGATTACGTTCTTGATTTTCTTCTTTAGATTGTTCAGTTTTGGCATTTAGAAATGTTACTGATTTTTGCATTTTGATTTTGTATCGTGTGACTCTGAATTTGTTGATCAGTTCTGATAGTTTTTTGGTGGAGTTCTTAGGTTTTTCCAAATATAAGATCAAATCACCTGCAAACAAGAAAACAATAATAATTTTACTTCTTTCAATTTGGATGCCCTTTACCGTTTTTCAATTTTCTTGATTGCTCTAGCTAGGACTTCCAGTACTATGTTGAGTAACATTGTTGGAAGTGGACATTCTTGCCTTGTTCCAGATCTTAGAAGAAAGGCTTTCAGGTTATCTCTGTTCAGAATGATACTGGCTGAGGGTTTGTTGCATATGGTTTTTATTGTGTTGTGGTATGTTCCTTCTAAATCTAGTTTTTTTGGGGGTTTCTTTTTATCACAGGGAAGTTGGATTTTATTAAATGCTTTTCAGCATCAATTGAAATTACCATATGTTTTTTGTCCTTCATTCTGTTGATATGATGTGTCACATTGATTGATTTGCATATGTTGAACCATGTTGGCATCCTTGGGATGAATCCCACTTAGACACGATGAATGGTCTTTTTCATAGAATGATTTTGGAAATATTACAGACTTCTCTGTTTTTTGGAATAGTTTGAGTAGGATTGATAGTAATTCTTCCTTCAGTGTTTGGTAAAATTAATCAGTGAAGCCATTGGATCCAGGCTTTTCTTTGCTAGGAGATGTTTTATTATGGGTTCAATCTCATTTATCCAGTTCTTCTAGGTTTGTGGTTTGGTTGTGTTTTTTTTTTTTTTTTTTTTTTTTTTTTTTTTTTTTTTGAGATGGAGTCTTGCTCTGTCACCCAGGATGGAGCTTGGTACAATCTCAGCTCACTGCAACTTCTGCCTCCCAGGTTCAAGCGATTCTCCTGCCTCAGCCTCTGGAGTAGCTGGGAGTACAGGTGCATGCCACCATGCCTGGCTAGTTTTTGTATTTTTAGTAGAGATGGGGTTTCACCATGTTGGCCAGACTGGTCTTGAACTCCTGATCTCAGGTGATCACCTGCCTTGGCTTCCCAAAGTGTTGTGATTACAGGCATGAGCCACGGTGCCTGGCCATTACTTGCAGGCTTTTCAATTTATTGGAATATAGTTGGTCATAATAGTTTCTAATGATTACTTGAATTTCTGCAGTATCAGTTGCAGTGTGTCCTTTTTAATCTCTGGTTTTATGTATTTGAGTCTTCTCTCTTTTTTCTTAGTCTGGCTAAATGTTTGTTGATTTTGTTGATCTTTTAAAAAAATATTAACTTTTCATTTCATTGATATTTTATATTTTTAAATTTCAATTTCATTTATTTCTGCTCTGATCGTTGTTATGTTTCCTTCTACTAATTTTGGTTTTGGTTTGCTCTTGCTTTTCTAACTATTTAAGATGCATTATTAGGTTGTTTATTTGAAGTTTTTCTACTTTCTTTGATGTAGGTGCTTTTTGCTATAAACTTACTCCTTAGTACTGTTTTTACTGTATCCCATAGGTTTGTTTTTTGTTTTTTTGTTTTTGTTTATTTTTGGAGACAGACTCTCTCTCTGTTGCCCAGGCTGGAGTGCAGTGGTGCAATCTTGGCTTACTACAAGCTCTGCCTTCTGGGTTCATGCCATTCTCCTGCCTCAGCCGAGTAGCTGGGACTACAGGTGCCCACCACCATGCCCAGCTAATTTTTGGTTTTTGTATTTTTAGTAGAGACGGGGTTTCACCGTGTTAGCCAGGATGGTCTCCATCTCCTGACCTTGTGATCCACCCAACTCGGCCTCCCAAAGTGCTGGGATTACAGGCATGAGCCACTGCGCCTGGCCTGTATCCCATAGGTTTTGGTTTGACTTTAAAGTTTTTCTCTTCTCAAAAACTCAGTGTCATGTTACTGGCTTCTAGAGCTTTGGGCAGTGAGACCCTTTTACTTGATAACAGTGGTAGCTGGGACAACTTGGCAATGTAAATAAATAAACGGCATCTAGATTGGAAAGGAAGAAGTACAGTTATCTTTATGTACAGATGACATGATCTTGCATTTAGAAAATCATAAGAAATTTACTAAAAAGTGTTAGGACTCATGAACAAATTTTGGAATGTAACACTATATAAGATTGGTATACAAAAATAACTGTATTTCTTTACCAAGAAATCAAGAATCCAAAAATGGGATTACAAAAATAAATCTTGTTACAATATAATTAAAGCTGGGGTAACTTTAACATAAGAAGCTTAAACTTGAACACTAAAAACTACAATGCATGGTTAGTGTTGGAAACACCCAGGTACCATCCCTGAGCCTTCTCTCCTTGGCTCTGAGGACTTTACCTTCACGGGGTGAGGAAAGGGTTTGCATTCTTGGCTTTTACGTTATAGTAGGTGGGTTCGGGGTGAGGTATCTGCAAGTCAAATGAGTATTACAATCTCTACTTTTATGTATAGGAGACTGGGGCCCACAAAGAGAGGGAATGACAATCCATATCCTGGAAGGCGAATTGTCAGGCACTGATTTCCCCTATGTAAACCCTGCCAATCATCGTGTATTTAAAGGATCCCCGGATACCTTACCAATAGGTGTTCAAGAGAGAGGACTGTAATCTAGGTGTCTGAGAAAGCAAGGCTAGAGATTCCAATATTGGAGACAACAGGGCTCTGGGAAGATTAAGGTTGAGTTTTCTGGATCTGCAGAATAGAGTCACTGAGGAGCAATTGCAAGTTCAGAGGAGATGAAAGAACAAGTCAGGGCATGCTTAGGAAAAGAGAAAACCAGGGATAGATTTTAGGCAAGAGTCACACTGAGGAAGGGCAGGTTCTTGGCGTCGCTCAGGAAGGAATCCAAAAGCAAGCCTGTGGTGGAATAAAGCAGCTCTATGGAGGCATTGGCGGTGTTACAGCCCTGCGTCCGCTCCTGCAGGGCAGGGAGCCCTCTGTGGGTTGTGCTCCCAGAGTAGCAGCCTAAGGGTGGCTTGTAGTCATTTTTATAATTCACTTTTAATGACATGCTAATTAAGGGGCGGGTTACTCAGAAATAGCTAGAAATGGGCAGTAACTTCCAGCTGTTTCCATGGCAAGGGGTGGGGACTTCCTGTGTTGCCATGGCACTGGCAAACTGTCATGGCGCTGGTGGGAGCATCTTCTGGTTATCTGAGGCGTGAAGTGCTTTCGCTGCCTCTCCCAGTTTCCTCTGTGCCTCTTACCTGAAAGCCCTTCACACCCCCATCTACCCACCTACAAAGTTCACTGCCCTTTCACCCCACACCCGTTTCACACGCACTCCCACATCAACCCCAAGCATTCAAGCTGGCAATTTCCCTGTTAGGAACCTCGGTGGTAGCCGGAGCTCTGAAAAACCCCTAGGCAGAACTCCTTGCCTAGTTTGTGGCAGAAATCAGGGAAGGAAAGGCAAAGTTCAGGTATTTCGCACAATAAATAAATAAAGATAGGTAGATTTGACTGATGGATGGATGGATGAAACGTGGGAGTTTATGGGCAAATGTTCATCAGACACTGGAAGTGTAAGTTGTCACAAAGATTATGGAGTGCACTTGTCTTATGACCCTGTTATTTTATCCTAGTATATACACTAGAGCAATTTTTTCTAACTGTGTAAATTGAAAGCTCACAAATTAGCTTCGTGAGAGAAAAGATAACAGATTGGAAGAGAATTACCATATTCATTAGTTGTGTTTTTAAAAATTTAAAGTAAAATAGAGACATGATTTTTTTCATGCTTTCGAATGCATCTATAAAAAATAGACTTGAGGGCTGGGCGCGGTGGCTCACGCCTGTAATCCCAGCACTTTGGGAGGCCTAGGAGGGCGGATCACGAGGTTAGGAGTTAGAGACCAGCCTGACCAACATGGTGAAACCCCGTTTCTACTAAAAATACAAAAATTAGGCGAGTGTGGTGGCGCCCGCCTGTAATCCCAGATACTCAGGAGGTTGAGGCAGGAGAATCTCTTGAACCTGGGAGGCAGAGTTTGCAGTGAGCCAAGATCGCACCATTGCACTCCAGCCTGGGTGACAGAGCGAGACTCCATCTCAAAAAAAAAAAAAGTTACTCATTAACAGCATAGACCAATTGGTTTCTATTGGAATTTCTCCATTATTTTCACAATGTCCCAGGCTGTGAATCCAGGATTTAATAACGAACCAGAATGCCACATCTGTGTCACGTGGGTAGGGACCAGTCCTGATCCATTAAGTCCGGGTCTCCAGGTAACTGGACTCACTGCTGGGCAAAACAGAATGTCCGGCGTGCGTTCCTAACGGGGGACCGCAGAGCCTCATAGGAAATGTAGTGTCACCTTCCAATGATGTTTACCATCAAGGACCTTGGGAACCAGGTTCTCTCTACGCATGTGCCACCCCGCCCACTTCGCCATTTTCCTCCGGAAGTGCGGATCCCAGCGGTGGTCGTGTAGCTGAGCAGGCCTGGGGCTTGGTTCTATGTCCCTGTGGGTAGGTGCGAGGGCGAGGAGGAACCTGTGGGCCTCGGGGGATCCCGGGGGGCCAGACCAGTGTTCCCCATTTGTGGGGGCAGACGCGTGGGCGCATCGCGGGCAGGAGGGGCCTGACGTGCATTTGCGGGCCGTGGACCCTGGCGGGGGCTGGGAGGACAGACGTGGGGTCCCAGCAGTGAAGCGGGTTCCAGAGGCACAGGAGTGGGTAGGCGAGGCTGGTGGCCCTGGGCCCGGAGTCTGCAGGCCGCGCTCCTGTCCTGCCGCTGAGGGACCCGGTTACCAACCCTCATGTAGCTCAGTTTGCCCATCTGTCCCCGTGCTAACACACAGTTCTCGGGAGACGTTCCCCATTCCCAGAGGAGTAGTGCGAAATGCGTGTGCCTCTAGTCTTAAGCTGGGCGTTTGTATTAGTTGGGTTTCCTGGTGTCTATTTAGCAAGTGAAGTTTCTGGTTCCCTCCTTCACTGTGTGACCTGCCTAGTCCTCCTGGATTGCATTTATGGAAGTTTATAGAGACCTAGTTTCCATGGAGGAACTCACTGATTCCGCCAGGGAGATGGGGTACTGGATGATGGTCTTCAGCCTTAAGGGTACTTCAGTCTTAACTGTGTGTTATAAAGTTTGAAAGGGAGGGTTCCCTATGAATAAGAAGCGCACTTGAAAGAACAGCCCTGTGGTCTAACCTCTCACTGGTGCTTCAGAGGAGGATAAAAGGTCGCAGGTGAAGATCCCAGTTTTCCTCGCTCAGGAAATATTAATTCTACTCCCTGGAATGCACAAGATTTGCAAAGACTAGGTGATAGTGGAAGGTTTGGAAGAACTTTCAGAAGGTTGAGGTGAATTCAGCTGAGAAGAACAGGCAAGGACCTAGGAAATATTCCTTATTTGAAGGGGCCTGAAAGTGTGGTCTGGGGTGCAGGAGTGACCTGTCATACTTGAAAAGATTGAAATACTCTCCAAATACAGTCCCATTCCTTCAAACTTACCTTGTTGTTTCCAGTGTCTGAGATATATTAAACCTAGTCCATCACCAAATATAGCATAGATTGTGAAGTTCTATTGATTGCATTTGATTTGTAATTTAAGACTTTCTCCCCCTACATAATTTCGTTAAAAACATTGAATTCTATTCACTTAGGTGTAACAGTTAATATTTGCTGTTTAAGGAACTAATTAAACCTTACTAGCTTATAAAAAACAACCACCATTTTATTTGTTTGAAGTTCTGTGGATCTGCATTTTGGTGTGGTGGGTTCAGCTGTGTAGTTGATATATTTGTGTTGCCTGGATCACAAAACAGGCCTTAGTCACCTGGTGCCTTGACTGAGCCTGGTTGGTTTAAGATAGTTTCCTTCACAATCTGGTGGTTTGTGGTGACTCTTGGCTAGGCCCTGTGTCTCCAACAGGGTAGCTCCAGACCTCTTCACAATATGACTGTGTCCAAAAAGGCAAGAACCAATGGATATTTGCATCACATTTTCCATTGTCCATTCACTGGACAAGTCAGATGGAAAAGCCCAATTTATTGTCAGAGCATAATATGAGGGCTTGGATACAGGGAAAGGTGTTATTGGGAAACATGAGTAGAATCGTGTACTGTAGGAAATACATATTATGTACATTTTAAAAAACGTAGGCCAAAATTGCTGGGTTGCAAGATGCACTTTCCATGATGTTGAGGTATAGAAAAGCAAGATGTACTGTCATGGGAATACTCATATGAAGTTATTTGTGGAATCCACATATTAATAGGAAAATGGTTAATACAGCCCAGTATATTTCTATAACATTTATTTTAGTGAACTTATAATGTTTCTTTGTATTAAATTATTAGATTATATCTTTAGGTAATATTGTTACTAAATTAGTAGGTAATACATATTTTTATTCAAAAATAAATTGTGCATCTAATGTCTACCAATTAATGTACTTGTAGATGTATCTTATCTTAACTTGAGTCTTTGCTGCCACTAATGAGGTGTGAAGGACTCTTCTCCCATGGGGAAGTTTTTCTTTTTCCGGAGGGAGGAGGGCTTTTCCAGGTAATGTGTCTAGAGTGTTGGGCAGAAGAATCTGGGACCACACCTCACCAGTTCTCTCCTTAATCGACGTCATTTGCCTTCTCTTCCAGCTATGTTTCCAGTGTCCTCTGGGTGTTTCCAAGAGCAACAAGAAACGAATAAATCTCTGGTGAGTTGTTTATTTGTTCTTCACTTTGTTTTACACTGTATTTTCTGAGTTTATGGGTGTCTGTGAATTAAAAAGGAAAAGTGGAAATAAGTAAAACTCAGGTTGAAGGAAATATACATAAATAAGATAAAGCTGACCTGTAGATATAGACAGGTTATAAAAGCTTAGAGTTGTCTAAGTTGAGTGCAAAGTTTCCTCTGATCTTTCTGATGCCGAAACAAAAAAGGCAGTCATGTTTGTTACGTGATTGGAATGGAACCCGAAAAGAGAGCACGCTGTATTCTTGTGGGACAGGAAAGCTTGTGTGCACCAAGTCTTAACCACCACCTTCATTGGTGACATAGATTATGTGCTGGAACATATTTCACACCGGTCTGGCAGTAAGCACTTGTAGTGTTGTGCAGTGGAAACAGTCATCTTCCGCTAAGGCATGACGTGTTGTGCAGTGGAAATGGTCATCTTCCGCTAAAGCATGGCGTGTTGTGCAGTGGAAATGGTCATCTGACGCTAAAGCACAGCATGTTGTACAGTGGAAATGGTCATCGTCTGCTAAAGCACGGCGTGTTGTGCAGTGGAAATGGTCATCTGCTGCTAAAGCACAGCTTCCATCATAAGGTATGCTCCTTGCTCAAAGAGTGTGGTCCCAAACAGCTTTTGGGAGGTCCTCCTTGACTCATGGATGAAACCCGGAACATCTTGAGGACTGAGTTAACCACAGGTCCTTAAATAACTCTCCACACATTTTTCTTAGTTTATCTCTACATGCAGGGTGTGCAGCAGCCTGTTCAAAGTCATATTTTCTGGGAAATATTTTCAGTGTTTATTTGCAATTTAGCCCACTCTGTGTAGTCTTAACTTATTTCTTCTAAACTCACCATTAACCTAAATAATAGTCAAATTTAGGGGGGCTGTATTTGTCTTACTCGAGTCTTCTACCATAGTTGAAACTGTCGTACCCAAGCGAGTTAGAGAGAAATGCCACACTTTGAGACGAATTCAGGAGTCCTTTATTAGCTGGTGACTGAGAGATGGCTAACACAGGAAATACTCTCGGCCCTAAAGAATGGGCTAGATTTTCTTTTATACATTGGTTTAGAGAGGGGAGGGGGGATTCCAGCTGCAATAAACTTACAGAAGAAAAAACAGACAAAAAACTTAAAAAGACAGATGGTTACAGGAAAACAAACTGTTCCAGGTGCAGAGGCTTTAAATTCACCACAAAGTGATGAGTGAGGGTGCTCTGGGCTTTATCTTCCAGACAAATGTGGGGGCTTTATGATATTATCTCTGAGTAATTTGCTGGGAACTGCGGACATCACTTGCCTCAGCACTTTATCAGTTAATTGCACTCTTTGATATGTTGAAAATCAGCTTGCACAAGTTAAAGTCCTTGAGGAAAGGGGGTGGGTAAGGAGCCCTTGATGTCTTGTAAATGAAGGAGCCAAATGGAGTTTGTCTGGTTTTCTCAGCTAAGGGAGAGTCTATTCATATTAAAAACAAGGTTAGCTATCTAAGGAAGAGTCTATTCATGTTAATACAACGTTGGGTATTACAAAACATCTGTTCATGATCTGGAAATTCTTCCGTGTTAGTTCTGTTAAAAGAAAAACTTTAAAGGAGTTTAACTGAGCAATAAACGATTCATGAATCGGAAAGTCCCCAGAATCACAGCAGATTCACAGAGACTCCAGCACAGTCATGTGGTGGAAGAAGATTTGTAGACAAAAGGGAAGTGGCATAACGAAATCGGAAGTGAGGTACAGAAACAACTCAGCGTTTGCCTTGTTTGAGCACAGTTTGAACATTTGGCAGTGCCTGATTGGTTGAAGTTTGGCCATTGGGATTGGCCAAGATGTAGCTGTTGTTTGAGGTGCATACACTCAAGTTAGGTTTTCATTCTTGTTTACCTATTAAGGTAGGTTGCAGGTCATCCACAAGGACTCATATATATAATTATGGAGTCCTTCTCAGGACATACTTAGTTCACTTTAACAATGCCTTCCCTTTGGTTATTTTCTCAATTTTGAGAGATTAGCCAAAACTTCAGTCACTGGTGTCACTATTACCCTTGCAAATGTACTTATTTGGTTTAGAAACCCACTGGGAAATAGAACAGTGAGATTTGAAAAGGTGGAACAAGGACTTGAGTAGAAGGTGTCTTCTTATGCTGGAATATCCTGTTTACAGGAGAAAAACAAAACCTGGTTTGTTCTAGGATTTATGTGTTTCCTTAAAGTCTTAGTTTGATTATGTTCCATTTAGCATGAGTGACTCCATTTTGGTTTGGTTTGTTCTGTTGGGACCTATTGCATGAGCTTAGTTCAAAACAATGGCCTCCCAGAATTTTGCTTAAAAAATTCCTCCTTTTGGCTGGGCACGGTGGCTCATGCCTGTAATCCCAGCACTTTGGGAGGCCGAGGTGGGCAGATCACGAGATCAGGAGATTGAGACCATCCTTGCTAATACGGCGAAACCTCATCTCTACTAAATACACAAAAAAATAGCCAAGAATGCTGGCGGGTGCCTGTAGTCCCAGCTACTCAGGAGGCTGAGGCAGGAGAATGGCCTGAACCCGGGAGGCAGAGCTTGCAGTGAGCCGAGATCATGCCACTGCACTCCACTCTGGGGGACAGAGCAAGACTCTGTCTCAGAAAAAGAAAATCCTCCTTTTCAGTCAAGTTCTCACTTAGTTGAGAGTGTGACCAAAATGTAGGGCCTTAGCCTCACTCTTAGTTACCATTGTTTTGGGTTTCCGGTTTAGCACATCACTCCCATTGTTTTGGGTAATGGTTTTAGCACGTCACTCCCATTGTTTTGGGTTTCTGGTTTAGCACGTCACTCCCATTGTTTTGGGTTCTGGTTTTAGTACATCACTCCCATTGTTTTGGGTTCCGGTTTTAGTACATCAGTCCCATTGTTTTGGGTTTCTGGTTTAGCATGTCACTCCCATTGTTTTGGGTTTCTGGTTTAGCATGTCACTCATAGGTTACGGTGTCCTTATGGTTGCACATTTTTTTTAATCTGTTGTCATTCCAGATGAAGAGATACCATTTGACATTTTAGAGATGGCTGCATGCAAACTCTTAAAACATTTGAGTAAGTACAGTGCACCAGGGAGACTCTTATGACTATTGGGATAACACCAAGAATTTGGTATATGCTCCTTACTCCGGGTCCCCATAAATCAAACCACCTAAAATCAAATAGATTAAAGAATGAATTAGATAAAGAGTTTACTTGCTTAACTAAGTGGGTTTTTTTGTTAATTCCCTACAACCAAATCTTTATAATACCCGATGTTTTCTCCATATGCCATGTTAGCAGCTGCACAGATACTTAAGATAATAGTCTCATGATAGTAGAGAAGTCTTGATCTGTGATCTTGGGAAAAGCTGTTCACATTAAGGATGCCATCTTCTTCTGGGGGGGAACTGTCCTTGTTAGCTTTACCTTAAGGGTTCCAAGGGGTGTATGGTTCCGAGTGTGGAGGGACCCTTCAGAGTTGTAAGACTATGAACCCAAAGTTTAAGGTTTTAAAGTTTTGCTGTCATGTGGATGGCAAGGGCAGTCCTCTGATGTTCTCAGAAGATCCAGTCATCATATTCTAGATTGTGAAGGGGTTGGCTGTCCTCTGTGAACCATAAAAGGCTTTCTTTAGCTGGTGAAAATACACTTCAGCATAATAATCTACTGTTTTAACATCAACCCTCTTGCATGGAAGAGCTTTTTTACAATCAGAAAACATGCACTGAAAATGACAACTGAATGAAATCCCTTTATAAAATGTTTAAATGGCCCATCAGGTAACCAAATGCACCTGAAGTTTTGATTGTTTTCCTAGGAATATAGGTTCGACAAACCAAACATTGATTATAAACTATTTTAGCAATTTAGAGATCACCACAGCAATATATTTAATTTGGATCATTTTCTCTTTCCATGATGAGTTATGGAATGCAGAACTTTTAATAACAAAAGTTTTAAGGACTTAAGACGGAAAGGTGGCCATCCTGGTTCTTCATAAGTCCGTGCTTAATTAACATTAGACTTACATCCTCTTGACTACCAGCTGTTTCTTCAAATTAGGTGCATGGCACTGGTAACTGATGAGTTATAGGTAATTTGGCTTAGACCATGGAGTGTATTTAAATTATATATCTAAACAATTTCAATATTGGTGATTTAGCATGCAAATCTGGCAAAATATTTCCTTGATATTCAATTTTTGTTTTACTTGGGTTAGCAGTTTTATAAACCAGTTGGTCTTCTTATTAAACTTTAGGATTTTTTTTTTTTTTTTTTTGAGACAGAGTCTCACTCTGTTACCTAGGTTGGAGTGCAGTGGCACAATCTTGGCTCACTGCAACCTCCGCCTCCTGGGTTCAAGTGATTCTCCTGCCTCAGCCTCCCGAGTAGCTGGGATTACAGATGCATACCACCACACCCGGCTAATTTTTGTAGTTTTAGTAGAGGTGGGGTTTCACCATTGGCCAGGCTGGTCTCAAACTCCTGACCTCAAGTGATCCACCGGCCTCAGCCTCCCAAAGTGCTGGGATTGCCAACATGAGCCACTGCACCCAGCCTAACTTTTGAGAATTCTTAACCAGTCCAATTATTGGGGGATCGGGGAACTTATGGGGAATTTTTACCTATGATATTAAAGTTATTAGAAACCTGTGTTCCCGAGTGTTTTTCATGTTCCTTTTCATTCTTTCATGAATCTTCTATTCTAGAATTTTGCATGCTTGTGAAGCTTTTAGAAACTGCATCACCATTAAGCAATTAACTGTGGAAATGACTTTAAATAGTTATAGTTAAAGACAATTGATAAGGAAATTTGCTTATTTCTGTGGTCTACAATAACTTAATAACCATAATTAGGGTGGATGTGGTGGCTCATTCCTGTAATCTCAGCTCTTGAGAGGCCAAGTTAGGTGGATCACCTGAGGTCAGGAGTTTGAGACCAGCCTGGCCAACATGGTAAAACCCTGTCTCTACTAAAAATAAAAAAATTAGCCGGATGTGGTGGCAGTTGTCTGTAATCCCAGCTACTTGGGAGGCTGAGGCAGGAGAAATGCTTGAACCCAGGAGGTGGAGGCTTCAGTGAGCCTAGATCACACCATTGCACTCCAGCCTAGGTGACAAGAGCGAAACTCTGTCTCAAAACAAACAAAACAGGTAATTATGATAGATAGCATATAGGCATATTAGAATTTTAGAATCCTGGCCAGTTGCAGTGGCTCACGCCTGTAATCCCAGCACTTTGGGAGGCCGAAGTGGAAGGATCACGAGGTCAGGAGATGAGAACATCCTGGCTAACACAGTGAAACCCCATCTCTACTAAAAATACAAAAATTAGCTTGGCATGGTGGTGGATGCCTGTAGTCCCAGCTACTCGGGAGGCTGAAGCAGGAGAATGGCATGAACCCAGGAGGCGGAGGTTGCAGTGAGCCGAGATTGTGCCACTGTACTCTAGCCTTGGTGACAGAGCAAGACTCCGTCTCGGGGGAAAAAAAAAAGAATTTTAGAAATCCTATACAATTTTAGAAAGGGTTGATGACATAAACTAAATATAACCTCAAGAAGGTTCAACATTATGTTTTATTTTGACAGTGCTACCCATGTGACTTAACATGTTAAATAGTCCTGTTTACCTCTCTTTTGGGTGCTTCAAGGGCCTCTGTAGTATCCCAAAGGTAGAGGTCAGAAAAGACAATTTTGAAGTTGAAATTTGATTTTGGGAAGCCTATTAAATATATTAAAAGTTTAAACACTTGATGTTATGAAATAGAATTCCAGGTCACCGTAAGTCATTCATTTACTTAAAATCATGACTTAAAAAAGTTTTAAAGGGCAAAAATCTTTACTCATTGATAGAGGGAAGACTTATCTTCACAAACGATCTGCCTCTTGTTTTTCCTTTTTTTTTTTTGGTAGTTTATTTAAAAGGCAAACAAATTTTTCATTATTTTTTAATATTACCTGAACATCTTCTTTAAAGAGAGAAAGCCAAATGTCACCCACTTTTTCATAAAACCTTATAGACAAACCTATTATTCTTTCTTTTTTTTTTTTTTTTTTTTTTTGAGATGGATTTTCCCTCTTGTTGCCCAGGCTGGAGTGCAATGGTGTGATCTCGGTTCACTGCAACCCCCTGCCTCCCCTGTTCAAGCGATTCTCCTGCCCCAGCCTCCTGAGTAGCTGGGATTAGAGGCATGGGCCACCATGCCCAGCTAATTTTGTGTTTTTAGTAGAGACGGGGTTTTTCCTTGTTGGTCAGGCTGGCCCTGAACTCCTTACCTCAGGTGATCCACCTGCCTCAGCCTCCCCAAGTGTTGGGATTACAAGCACGAGCCACTGCACCTGGCCATTTTTTTTTTTTAAAGATTGCGTCTTGCTCTGTCACCCTCCTCACCACATTATAGCTCTGGGGGCCAAGCTGCATCACAATGGAAAATCATGGAATCGCAGGAAGAATCCACTCAGCTTTGCCAAATGCAGCCCAAGGGGTTGCTTGGAGTAACCAAATTAACATTTTTCATTCTGCCCAGAGCAAAATACATGTGACAAAACATAGACACGTGCCACTTTGCTCAGCACCCAGTATCAAACTGGTAAGACTCAAACTTGCTCCCAGATGGGCCGTGCCATCTCTAAATCTTTTTAGAAGCTTCTGCATATTAATAGGCATCCCTAGATGAGACTAATTTGGGAGCCCTCATTTTTAAATGCACTTCAGGGCATTATTCATTTGGAATGTTCCACTGTAAGTTATCTTAATAAGATTTTGCCATTTCTGTAAGACTTTGCTGCTTCCCAGGCCTAATGTATTAGCCAGAAGGAGCTTAGTTTTCCAGAAATTAAGGATCCTATTTTTACCAAAAATATTGGCTTTACTCCCGGGTTCCCTTCATTAACTTAGCCAATGATTTTTTTTTCCTGCTTAAGAATGCGAGAAAAATGAAACAAAGGGGTAGAACACAAAAATCCCTGTGAATTTTCAAAAGCCAAATGTTACAACCTTCCAATATTATCATTTACTACCACTTTCCTTCTGACCCAGTCAGATGTAGGAGGCCTCTAACTGGAACTGGATTCAAGCCAGTTAACTACTGGATCAAATCTGATCCTGGACCTGGTCCCTTTTCTGTCATAACTTCTAAAACATCCAGCCAGTCATGGCTGGATAGCAGTTTGGAACAGAAATTTGCTCAAAGAAACTCAGAGCTCAAAACACAAATCCATGGAGCTCTGAAATCCGAGAGAAAATTTACCATGATCCCCAGCTGCTCCGAGAGATCAAAGGACACAAGTGTTACAGAATCTGAGGCGTCACTTTTCTGCCTGAAACCTCTGGCTGGTGGAGCCTTTACCTGTGTTTTGCTTGGGCCCACTGGGTTAGTTCTGTCCACTCAGCTCATGCTAGTGGTCTGGATCCCACACCTGCCAAGGGCGAGCTGGGTACAGAGCAGTGAGGGGTGTGTGAGCAAGCGAGCATGGGATCTGGCCACTGCACACAGCCAAGCATGCCAGCTGCAGTGGGGTGGGCAGCTCCAGGCACAGATGCCAGCTCCCTGTGAGGCTGCAGCTGGACCAGGCCGACTGCAAACAGCTTCCACTGTGGGTATCAGGGAATGCAGTGGCACCCAGAAGCTTGGAGATGCAGGACCTGCAAAGCCCCAAAGAAGGTGTCACAGCCCTGGCTGGGGGAGCTCCTAGGTCTGTGTTCCCTGAAGGGACACAGCTCTTCTCTCCTTCTCTCTTCTCTTCTTCTTGCCTGCAATTTGGCAAGCAAGGAGCGCGTTTCAGCCCTGTTTATGTTACACCTCTTTCAGCCCTGCTAGTTGGCAGGTCCCGAGTTCTTGTCCTGAGTCCAGGAAAAATGAGGTATGTGGACAAGTAGAAGGTGAGCAAGGTGAAGAGGTGCTTTATTGAGCCACAGTACAGCTCAGAGGAGACCTGCAGTGGGTAGTTCCTTTCTGCAGGCAGGTCATCCCAACGTCTGTTCAGCTCTCAGCAGCTGAGAGGAGATGCACGGTGGGTAGCTGTGCCCATAGTGCCCAGGCGTTCGAGCTGAGGAGGGCCTTCTGGCCACTGCTGAGCCACTCTTAGCCCCACCTCACCCTCCCTCCTGTGCTTGCCAGTGCCCAAAGTCTGGAGGGGGCCAAGGTGGCAGGGGGCTGGCATGTCAGCACTGCCCTGAGCTTGCACAAACCGGGCCGTGTTGTGACTGTGCCCGGGTTTGGCCTCAACTTGGATCCGAATTTGGAGTGGGTTCTGGAAGCAGAGGGACGCCAGGTGGCAGGACCAGGTACAACTGAGCCTGCGGGGCAGGGGGGCTTGCTGGGCCTCTGAGAGTGCAGAGATGCCCGGGTTTGCAGTCATGGCTGGATGGCTGCAGCTGTGCCTGGGAGGGCGGGGTTCCTGCCTGATAATTTAGAAGGGACAGGTCTCCCACCCATTCCTGGCTCCCACCAGCTTTGAGGAGTGCACAGCCCCAGCCACTCCTCCCCACTGCAGCCAGTGTCTCCATAGCAACTGCTCCACGTGGGCCACTGCTGCCATCACAAACGGGTCCTTTCAGGTTCCTTCCTTGTACCTCAGCACTCTGGGGGTCATTAGAAGCCTTAGCAACACTGCTCACCACAGTATAGCTCCAGAGGCCCTAGCAGTCCTGCTCCCACAGATCCCACTTCTGACACCATCTATTAAAAGAAAATCTTCAGCTGAATTAAATTTAAAGGAACTTAATTGAGCAATGAATGATTCACGAATCAGGCAGCCCCCAGAATCACAGCAGATTTGGTGAGACTCCAGCACAGACACATGGTGGAAGATTTATAGACAATAAAGGGAACATGATGTACAAAAATCTGAAGTGAGGAGTGAGGTCTAGAAGCAACTGGGTCCATTACAGTTCTCAGCAGTGAGGTCCAGAAACAACTGGACTGGTTACAGTGCTCAGCATTTGCCTTATTTGAACACAGCTGAACACTCAGCAGTGTGTGAGTGGCAGAAGTTTGGCTGTTGGGATTGGCCACGACTCAGCTACTGTTTTAGGCACATACTCCTAAGTTAGGTTTTCAGTCTTTCTACCTATTAAGTTAGGTTGCAGTTTGTCCACAGGGACTCAAATCTAGAAGTACAGAGTCCTTCCCAGGCCATATTTAGTTCACTGTAACAGTTCCTATTATGACCTCACTGACAGTTCTTTTTCTCTGAATTCTCCTTTCTTCTCAACAGCTTGTCCAAATGTTCCATTGGTCCCTGTTCATCTTGCCCTGCAGTTCTCCTTGACTGATTCAGCCCTTTGTGGTTTGCAGTCCTGTTTCTCTACAGCTTGGACCTCTTCAGTCTTTCCATCATAGGTTTAACTCTCTGTTGAATGCTTCTTTGTAGCTATCCAAATTTACCTTAAGCTCAAAAAATTCGAAGTGAAAGCCACATCCTCTTCTCTTCCCTTATGTGTATGGCATTACTACCGTGCAGCCAGTGACCCAAAATGGGATTTCTTCTGGGCTTTTCTTGCTTAGATTCAGGCTCATCTGGTGTCAAGCCTTGTTACTTTTGTTTCCTTGTTCTTTTATTTTTATTTTTTTTCTTTTGAGACAGAGTTTCGCTCTTGTTGCCCAGGCTAGAGCGCAGTGGTGTGATCTCAGCTCACTGCAGCCTCCACCTCCTGGGTTCAAGCAATTCTCCTGCCTCAGCTCCTGAGTAGCTGGTATTACAGGCATGTGCCACCATGCCCGGCTAATTTTGTATGTTTAGTAGAGATGGGGTTTCTCTGTTTTGATCAGGGTGGTCTCGAACTCCCGACCTCAGGTGATCCGCCCACCTCGGCCTCCCAAAGTGCTGGGATTACAGACGTGAGCCACCGTGCCTGGCCTGCTTGTTGTTTTCATCTCATCCTGATTTCCGAATACAGGAGAGAAGCTGAGTTGGTGTTCACTAACAAGCACAGAAGCTTTGTTATATTTACAGTGTCATTCTTGGCAAAACCTGAAGGGTGTGTTTGTGGGGTGATGAGGTTCAGTCACCTGTGACCTGTGCATCTGGCCAGCACTGTGGTGACATCCTTAGGAATCCATGGGGAGAGAGAAAGCATTCAGGAGTTAGTGGGTCACATTTGACAAGGGCCAATAAAGAAATATGCAAAGACAAAAAACAAGAAGAACATTGTCATATTTTCTACCTTTTGTTTATATAAATTTATGTCAATGATTTTAGCTTATGTTAATATGCAATGTATATAATATGCTAACATTTACAATATATGTTTATAGTTTAAACATTTCTGTCATATTTTCAGATTCTTTAAAGATTATATTACGCTTCCTATTTCAGATAGCTGCTTAAAATGAGTAAGGAAAAACGGATGTGTGCATCAGTTCCAACTGTTTATGTACTAAAACTAGTTGATATCTTGGTTAAGAACAAAAAGTGACAACCTAATTAACTGAAAATTTTAAGTGGGCAATTATAGTTTTAGCTTTAACGTAAAATATTAACTATGCTCCATTCTTGCATTTTTAACCTAATACTCAATATAAATCACCACATGCCATGTTTCAGATCAAGGTTTTACTTGGGATCTCTCATGAGTTTTTCAAGGTTTTAATTATCTGCAATGTAACAATGTACCAGTAACCTTACTGGCTTAAACCAGGAATTTATTCTTTTTACATGTCACAATTTTCTGGGTCAAGACACTGGACAGGGCAGTGTGGGTTGGCTGCTTCGTGATGTCCCTGGTCTCATCTGGGAGGACTCTAGTGGCTGGGGACATGAAGCAGGCACCCAGAAGGACTCTAGTGGCTGGGGACATGGAGCAGGCACCGAGCCCTCTCTTTGTGGCCAGCACGGACTTCCTCCCAGTCTGGCAGTGTCAGTTACTCAGGTTTGTCTGGCTTCTCCCAGGGTGTGTGTCCAAGAGGCCCAGGCAGAAGCTGTAAGGCCTCTCATGATCATCCCTCAGAAGTCCCAGAGCATCTATCCTGCCACACTGTCCAGTCATACTCATCACTGAGACCAGCCATGATTCAAGGGGGGAAGGTGATTAGATTCCACCTCTTGATGAGAAGAATAGTAGGAACCTGCAGCAGTCTTTAATAAACCACAGTTTGTCCTCTGGCCACAAACTATTAACGTTTCTCCCACATGCAAATTATGCTTTGCCCCTCTCAAGAGTCCCAGAATGGTTTTCCTTATGGCACTGGCTGGTAGCCCAACTGAATCCTGAATCAGGTTGTGGTGGCCTGTCATCTGCACCCACACACACTCAGCCGCAGTGAGGACTGAATCAAGTTATGGTGGCCTGTCATCTGCCCCCCCACACACAGCCACAGTGGGGACTGAATCAGGTTGTTGTGACCTATCATCTGTGCCCACACACTCAGCCGCAGTGAGGGGACTGGTGTGAAAACAGTCAGCATTTCCCTTTAGAAGCTGTTGGTGGGAGGCAGGAGGGAGGTGCTGCCCTGCAGGCCCCGTCTAACAGCTGGTCATTCCCATGGGGCGCCTGTTACAGTTCTGTGATTAGTGCCCAGTACGGGTCCCTGAGAATGGCGCCCAGTCCTTGTCCCTGAGAACGGCGTTTGTGTCCTTTTACTCCTGCCTCTGGGCTTTTGTCATTCTCCATGTTCTTTTTCCTTCAGTGCCTGGGTTGCCGTTGACCAACTTTCTCTGCCTTTTTCTTATGGTCAATAGGGTATTCAATGGCTTCTTTTTAATTTTTTTCCTTTTCTTTTTTTTTTTCTTTGGCCTTTTGAGACAAGAAATTATTTCTTTATATTTTCTCTAAATTTTGTTTGAAAAGTGAACTTCCTTCTTTAGATCATGTCCCTCTCCTGTCATATTTATTCAATGACAGTTAGGGTAGGCTGGTAGCACTTTCCATGTTCTTCCCAGATGTCTCCTTAGGCAGATCCCTGAGATGGTGCAGTGCCCTTTCGGTTTCCATGTTGTGGCTGTAGTTTTCTCACAGTCCCTCAGCACATAACTCTCAGGCCTTTTCCCCACTTTCCAATGACATTTTCTCACCGTCCTTCAGGCACTGACCAAGAGTCTTGATGCCCTTCCAGGTTGCATGAATGGTCTCCTTGAGGCCCAGTTACAGGTCAGCCTCACAGTCGTGGCACATATTGTAGCTTCTGATTACCACAGCGGCTCATTTCCAGCTACCATATTCTGTTCCAGTTATCTATTCTGAAGAAACCATCCCCAAAACTTGGCAGCTTAAAACAACTCATTATTACCTGTTTTTTGGCTTAGAGAGTCTTGGTGGCCAGCTCATCTCACACACAGTTGCAGCCAAGCTGGATTGTGTGAAAGCACAGTGGGGTGGTGTGCAGGGTGGCTCACTAGTGGTTGGGAGTGGATGTTGCTGAAGGCTCACTAGTGGTTGGGAGTCGGTGTTGCTGGAGGGTCAGTGGGGGATGTCAATGTGTGTAGCTAGTCACGGACTGGCCATGTGGTTTCCATCATGAGGTCTCAGGGGAGTGGGATTTCCTGCCTGGTGACTGGCTTTCTCCTGGATAAGTGTTCTGTTTTCTCAGCCTGGCTTCTGAAGTCCCCAAATACCACCTTTGTCACCTTCTGTTGGCCAAGCAAGTTAGTAGTCTGGGCAAGGTTTAAGGGGAATTGGTTCTCACAGAGAGAGGAGCAGGAAAGAAGTTGTCACCTTTAGTCTACCAGAAATATGATTTTTATAACAAGTTTGTTCCAAATACATTCCAGTTCCCCTTGTGAATACTTTTTTGACTCACAGGGTATTTCAAAGTTTATTACTTGGTTTTCAGACATTTGAGGCTTTTCTGGATATCAATTTGTTGTTGGTTTCTAATTTAATTTCAGGTGTTCAGACAACATACTTTGTATACTATGTCATGCTTGAACATTTTCTCAATTGATCAACATACAGTCTATCTTGGTACTGCCAAGTACCATTTGGGTCAGGATTTTGTCATTTAGATCCGTATTTTTCCTATATTTTTATCTGGTTGTTCCGTCAGTTACTGAGAGAGCAGTATTAATTCACCAGCTATAATTTTGGATTGTCAATTTCCTGCTTTTGTTCTGTTGTTTTTGATTCACATAATTTGAGGCTCTGTGTGTGAGAGTACTTTGTGTGCACTTTGAGGCACAATTTATAATTGTAACATCACCCTCTCTGATTCTTTTATTTTTATGAAATTACCTTTTTTATTTCTGGTGATATATTTTGTTCTGGAGCCTCTTTCATCTAGTGTTAACGTCTCTGTTGAAGCTTTTTATGATTAGTGTCTGGATAGCATATTTTTATGATTAGTGTCTGCATAGCATATTTTTTCTCATACTTTGTGTCTTTGTATTTAAATTGTGTCTCTGTGGATGCCATATTGTTGGGTCTTGCTTTCCTCTCAGGTCTGGCAGTCTCTGTCTTAAGTAGAGTATTTGTCCAGTTACATTGTAACTAATCATTGCTAAGGTTGGATTTAGGTCTGCCATTTTTCTACTTATTTTCTATTTGTTTTTTTTTTTTTTTTTTTAAGACAGGGTCTTGCTCTGTCACTGAGACTGTAGTGCAATGGTGCAATGTTGGCTCACTGCAACCTCTGCCTCCCAGGCCCAACCAATCCTCACTGGAGCCCACTGAGTAGCTGGGACTACAGGCACATGGAAACACACCTGGCTAATTTTTATATTTTTTGTAGAGATAGGGTTTTGCCATGTTGCACAGGCTGGTCTTGAACTCCTGAGCTCAAGCAATCTACCCACCTTGGCCTCCCAAAGTGTTTGGATGACAGGCATGAGCCACCATGTCTGGCCTTCGTCTGTGTTTTGATCTTCTATATATTCTTTCCTAACTTCTTTTGGGTTAAATATTTCTAAATATTCCAGTTTGATTAATATTTTGGCTTTTTGAAATAATTTTTTATAGGCTGGGCATGGTGGCTTATGCTCGTAATCTCAGCTCTGTGGGAGGCCAAGGGAGGTGGATTGCTTGAGCCCAGGAGGTTGAGACCAGCCTGGGCATCATGGCAAAACCCTCTCTACAAAAAAACCAAACCAAAATTTAGCCTGACATCTTGGTGTGCACCTGTAGTCCCAACTATTCGGGAGGCTGAGATGGGAGGGTTGCTTGAGCCTGGGAGGTTGAGGCTGCAATGAGCTGTGATCATGCCATTGCACTCCTGCCAGGGCAACAGAGTAAGACCCTGTGTCAAAAAAGATCATTTTTTATAAATAATTTATTATTTAGAATTTTCGTAACAAACACATACCTTAAAATTTACCATCGTAACCAGTTGTAGGTATACAGTTTTGTAGAGTTAAGAATATTTACGGTGCTGTGTAGCAGATTTCTAGATTTTTTTTTTATCTTGGAAAATTCTATACCCATTCAACAACTATTAATTTCCCCCTCCTTCCACCTCCTGGCAAGTACTATTCTACTTTGTGTTTCTAAAAATTTGGCTTATATACCTAGGGTTATATAATATTTGTTGTTTTGTAAGTAGGTTCCATGTTATGTGTCAGATGTGTCACGATTTTCTTCCTTTCTATGGCTGAATAATATTTCTTCATATATATATTATATATATATTACATATATAATATATATATATATATCATGTATATATATATGCTTTTGTTTATCCACCTATTTCTGGACGGACGTTTTGGTTTCTTCCACCTTGTGGCTGTGTAATGCTGCTGTGAACTTAGGTGTGCACATATCTGTTTGAGGTCCTGCTACTAGTTATTCTGTCTCTGTAATAGTTGGATGGCTGGATCATATGGTCATTTTATTTTATTTTTTTTGAGGAGCCAGTTCATATTTCCACCAACAGTGTTCAAGGGTTACAGTTTCACCTGCGCTTGTTACTTTCTGTTGGGTTTGAAGTGATGTCCCATTGTGGTTTCTTTTTGCATTTCTCTAATGACTAGTGATGTTACACATCTTCTCATATATCTCATGTATCTGTTGGCTATTTGTATATCATCTTTGCATCTTTGGATAAATGTTGTTTGTCCATTTTTTAATCATTTTATTTTGTTGTTGGGTTGTAGCGGGGTTTTTGTCATGATCATTCATTTATCTCACAGTTCATTCTCATTACTTGGGCCAGGGTCATGATGGTTCATTATCTCTCAGTTCATCCTCATTACGTTGGGCAAACAGTCATGCTGCAGGGTATAGATTATGTTATTCTGTTACTTTCAGGTAGAATTGGGGTCTAGGTTATAATTGTTTCTAAGTTTAGATTCTGAATGAGAATCAGCAGAGGTAGACCACCACTGCTGGGGCCTGGGGATTGCTGGGAAAAAGGCAGGAAACAAATACAGACCTGACCATGGAGGGTTTGTGTTTCATGGCTCCCATCTGGGTACCCAAGGAACCTACACGTAGCTCGTGTGTGGAGAGCCTACATTGCCCACTCAAAGCAATTGAGGATGGAACAGTCTTGGGGCTGGAGCTCATTATTTGGAATGATAACCACATCTGCACAGAGAGGACCTGATAAGATGTTGTCCTTCCATGTATATCTGGGAATCCTGTGTAGGGTCTCTCTGTAAGGACAGGAGCAGTGTTGGCTCCTTGGCCTCTAGTTAGCCTCACGAGTAGTCTAGTAAAGGCTTTGCCAACTTGTCACCATCTGTGGATATTCTGGCCAGCTCTTGTTTTCACCCTACTGACTTCTTCAGACACTAGGCTTTTGCTTCAGACCATTCATGGTTTTTCTTCCTCTTCAAATCAGTAATCAATAAATCCTCTTCAAATCAATAAATTTCCACTCCTTTAGGAAACTCTGATCTTCTGGTCATGCCAAGGTTTAATTAACTGGTTTAATTGTTTTTCTGTTTTCTTGGTTTCTTTTTCCTTCTTCCTGGGGGTTTCTAGTAATTTTAGTTTGATGTCTCACTTTCTCCATTTTTTATTTCTTAGTTTTCTTCTGTGATTATTTTCACTGCAGCTGCAGGGCCTAATCCTGGGTTGGCAGATAACTAGCACTTACTCTGCCCTAATTGGAATCCGGGAGAGATAGGAGGTGCTCTAGTGTGAAAATGTGTTTGCTCCTCTCTGCTTCTGGTAGTCTCTCTGTAGGAGTACTTTACGTATTCTGAATGTTCACTTCTTATGAGATACATGATGTGCAACTATAGGTTGAATGTCTCTGATCCAAAAATCTGAAATCCCAAATGCTCCAAAGTCTGAAACTTTTTGAGTGCCAACATGACACTCAAAGGAAATGCTTATTGGAGCATCGCAGACTCAGGTGTTTGAATTCGAGATGCTCAACCAGTAAGAATAATGCAAATATTACAAAATCTGAAACACATCCCAAGCATTTCAAATAAGGGACACTCAACTGGTATTTTCTTTTATTCTACAGTTTGCCTTTTACCCTGTTGGTTGTGACCTTTGTGGTACAGAAGTTTTTAGGTTTGATATATTTTTGCTTTTACTGCCTGAGCTTTTAATGTCATATCCTAAAAATTATTGACAAATTCATCATCATAAAGCATTTTCCAAATTTGTTTTCCCTAGGAGTTTGATAGTTCTAGTTTTACTTTTGGGTTTATAATTCACTTTGAATTAATTTTAACGTGGTGTAAGGTAAGAGTCCAACTTCATTATTTTGCATGTAGATATACAATTTTCCCAACACCATTTGTTGAAGAAACTGTCCTTCGCCATTGAGTGGTCTTGGCATCCTTGTGGAAGATCATCAGACCATATATGCCAGGGTTGGTTTCTGAGGTCTCTGTTGTGTTGGTCCATAAGTGTGTCAAGTATGTCTTTACGCCATGACCACTTTTTTTTTGGCTTATTGCAGTTTTGTAATTGTTTTGAGACCTTTAATTTTGTTCTGCTTCAAGATTGATTTGCCTATTCATGGGCCCTGGAGATTCCATATGAATTTTAGGATAGGTTTTTCTGTTTATCAAAAATGTCATTGGAATCTTTATAAGGATTGTATTGAACCTAGGTCACTTCGAGTAGTGTTGACATCATTCCAAGATGAAATCATCTAATCTGCAAACCCACCTTTTCTTTTCATTTATTTGTGTTTAATTTCTTTCAACAGTGTTTTATAGTTTTCTGTGTTCAAATCTTTTGCCCTTTTGGTTAAGCTTATTTTTAATTTTTATAATGCTGTTGTAAATGTAATACTTTTTTTTTTTTTTGAGATGGAGTCTTGCTCTGTCTCCCAGGCTGGAGTGCAGTGGCACTATCTCAGCTCACTGCAACCTGCGCCTTCTTTATTCAAGCGATTCTCCAACCGCAGCCTCTCAAGTACCTGGGATCACAGGTGCGCGCCAGCACGCCCAGCTAATTTTTTGGTATTTTTAGTTGAGACAGGGTTTCTCCATGTTGACAAGGTAAGTCTTGAACTTGTGACCTCAGGTGATCTGCCCGCCTCAGCCTCCCAAACTGCTGGGATTGCAGGCATGAACCACTGCACCCGGCCAAATGTCATTCTTTTTAAAAATTTCTTTTCTTTTGTTTTATCTTTCTTTTTTTTCTTTCTCTCTCTTTCTTTCCTTTCTTTCTTTTCTTTGAGATGGCGTCTCAGTTTCCTAAGCTGGAGCGCAGTGGCACAATCTCAGCTGACTGCAACCTCCACCTTCCAAGTTCAAGCAATTCTCCTGCTTCAGCCTCCCATGTAGCTGGGACTACAGGTGTCTGCCACTACGTCCAGCTAATTTTTGTATTTTTAATAGAGACAGAGTTTTACTATTTATTTTAGAGATGGGTTTGGCCCAGCTGGTCACGAACTCCTGACCTCAGGTGGTCTACCCGCCTTGGCCTCCCAAAGTGCTGAGATTATAAGTGTGAGCCACTGCACCTGGCCTCTCTTTTTAAAATTTTATTTGCAGATTGTTCATTGTTAGTTTATGGAAATGCAACTGACTTGTGTGTGTTACTGTATCCTGAAACTTTGTTGAATTTCATTATTTTACCAATATTTTGGGAATTTCAGGATTTTTACCCATTACATCCTGTTGTCTGTGAACAAAATTTTGTACTTTTTCTTTTCCAATTTGCATCCTTTTTATTACTTTCTCTTGACTCATTATTCTGAGTAGAAATTCCAGTACTGTGATGAATAGACGTGGCAGGAAGAGATGTTGCTATCTTATTCCTGATCCTAGAGGAAAAGATTTTAGTCTTTCACCATTGAGTATGATGTTAGCTGTGAGCTTTTCATGTATAATCTTTATTTACTGAGGAGTTTCCATATATTACTAATTCTTTGAGTGTTTTTATTACAAAAGGTGTTCATCTGGCTCTGGAACCAGATAAATGTTGACCTGATAGAATGGATTGGAATGTTCCCTTCTGGTTTTTGAACATTTTTGGAATATTTTGCAGAGGATTGGCATTAATTCTTCTTGAAATGTTTGGTAAAATTTTCCAGTGAAGTTATCTGGACCTGGAATTTTCTTTTTGGTGGGGTTTTTGATTACTGGTTGAATCTTCTTACTAGTTACAAGTCTCTTTGGATTTTTTATTTCTCCGTGATGCAGTATGGTGGTTTGTGTTTCTAGGAATTTATAAATTTATTCTAGGTTGCCCAGTTTTGTGGCATATGGTTGCTCACATTAGTCTCTTGTAATCTTTTTCATTTCTGTGGCATCTGTTGTACTGTCACCTATTTTATTCATGATTTTAGTATTTGAGATTTCTCTTTTTTCTTAATATAGCTGTGAGTTTTAAAATTTTTATTGATCTTTAAAAAAACAAACTCATTGTTTTTTTTCCTTTTTTTTCTGGTCTTATTCTGCTTATCTCTGCTCTAATCTGTTATTTTCTTCCTTTTGCTTGGTTTGTCATTAGTTTTTTTTTCCCCCCTTCAGGTGTAATGTTAGGTTATTGATTTGAGATCTTTCTTCTTTTTAATTTAAGCACCTGCAGCTATAAGCTTCCCTTTAGCAAGGGTTTGAGATATTTCTTCTTTTTAATTTAAGCATCTGCAGCTGTAAGCTTCCCTTTAGCATGGGTTTGAGATCTTTCTTCTTTTTAATTTAAGCATCTGCAGCTGTAAGCTTCCCTTTAGCACTGCCTTTGTTGCCTCCTCCTGAGTTTGGGTATGTCATGGTTTCGTTTTCATTTGCTTAAACATTTTTTGTCCTATTGTAATATAATTGTGTTGTTTTTAATAAAGGTAATTAATGAAACACATAATGAATTGTGCTTCTGTTTTAATAATATTTTAAGCATTCTTAACTCAGAAATGTAAATTTTAGAAAAAAATTCCAGGCCAGGCACAGTGGCTCACACCTGTAATCCCAGCACTTGAGGAGGTCGAGGCGGGAGGATCATCTGAGGTCAGGAGTTGGAGACCACCCTGGCCAACATGGTGAAACCCTGTCTTTACTAAAAATAGAAAAAAATATATAAAAGTTAGCTGGGTGTCATGGCGGGTGCCTGTAATCCCAGCTACTCTGGAGGCTGAGGCAGGAGAATCACTTGAATCTGGGAGGTGGATGTTGCAGTGAGCTGAGATTGCACCACTGCACTCCAGCCTGGGTGACAGAATGAGAGTCCGTCTCAAAAAAAAAGAAAAAAGAAAAAATTTCAGACATATTTATTTGTATTTCAATTTAGAAACTATGATCTCCTAAGTGTATTGACACAGCAACCTGACATAAAGATAAAGAATAATAAGCATATAACAAAATGGAAACTTGCAAATACCTGTTTTTTATTAATTTTTAATTATATATATTTAAAAATTGCCAGGTGCAGTGGCTTACACCTGTAATCCCAGCACTTTGGGAGGCTGAGGTGGGCAGATCACATGAGGTCAGGAGTTTGAGACCAGCCTGGCCAACATGGTGAAACTTCATCTCTATTAAAAATCAAAAAATTAGCCAGGCTTGATAGCATGCATCTGTAGTCCCAGCTACTCGGGAGACTGAGTCAGGAGAATTGCTTGAACATGGGAGGCGAGGTTGCAGTGAGCCAAGATAGTGCCACTGCACTCCAGCCTGGGTGACAGAGTGAGGCTCTGTCTCAAAAAAATAAAAATTGTCTGGCACGGTGGCTCACACCTGTAATCGCAGCACTTTGGGAAGCTGAGGCAGGCAGATCACGTCAGGAGATCAAGACCATCCGGGCTAACACTGTGAAACGCCATCTCTACTAAAAATACAAAAAATTAGCCGGGCGTGGTGGCAGGTGCCTGTAGTTCCAGCTCCTCTGGAGTTTGAGGCAGGAGAATGGTGTGAACCTGGGAGGTGGAGCTTGCAGTGAGCCAAGATTGCACCACTGGACTCCAGCCTGGGTGACAGAGTGAGACTCTGTCTCAAAAAAATAAAATAAAGTAAAACTAAGGTGTGGTTGACATACAAAAATTACACATATTTAATATATACCTTGTGTGTGTGTGTGTGTGTGTGTGTGTGTTATGGAGGTTTTACTCATGTTGCCCAGGCTGGAGTGCAGTGACACGATCTCAGCTAACTGCCACCTCCGCCTCCCAGGTTCAAGCAATTCTCCTGCCTCAGCCTCCTGAGTAGCTGGGATCACAGGCGTGCGCCCCCACGCCCGGCTAATTTTTGTATTTTTTTAGTAGAGACAGAGTTTCACCATGTTGGCCAGGCTGGGCTCGAACGCCTGACCTCAGATGATCCACCTGCCTCGGCCTCCCAAAGTGCTGGGATTACAGGCGTGTGACACCGAATATATACATCTTAATGAGTATAGAGATAAATATTCGCCTCAGGACTCATCACAACAAATAATACCGTAAACTTGACCATCACCCCCCATATATTTCTCATTCTCACCCTTTTTAAAAAATGAGACCGGGAGTGGTGGCTCACGCCTGTAATCCCAGCACTTTGGGAGGCCAAGGCAGGTGGATCACGAGGTCAGGAGATCAAGATCATCCTGGCTAACTCAGTGAAACCCCGTTTCTACTAAAAATACAGAAAATTAGCCAGGCGTGATGGCGGGCACCTGTAGTCCCAGCTACTCAGGAGACTGAGGCAGGATAATGGTGTGAACTCGGGAGGCAGAGCTTGCAGTGAGCCGAGATCGTGCCACTGCACTCCAGCCTGGGCAACAGAGTATGACTCCGTCTCAAAAAAAAAAAAAAAAAAATGAGATGACCATTTCACCTAAGATATACCCTCTTAAGTATTTTTTTAAGTGTACAATACAGGACGGCCATGCATCAGAGATATATGTGGGTTTGGTTCCAGACCACTGCAATAAAGTGTTATACAATTTCTTTTGGTTTCCCAGTGCATGTAAAAGTATGTTTATACTGTGCTGTATAAAGTGTGCAATAACATATGTCTACAAAGTATGCACACTTTAATTTACAAATACTTTATTGTTAACAAGTGCTAACAGTCATCTGAGCCTTCAGAAAGCTGCAATCTTTTTGTGTGTGTGTGACAGGGTTTTACTCTGTGGCTCAGGCTGGAGTAATTGCAACCTCAACCTCATGCTCAATCAAACCCCCACCTCAGACTCCTGACTAGCTGGGACTACAGGTGCATGCCACCGTGTCCAGCTAATTTTTGTATTTTTTTCTTTGTAGAGATGGGGTTTTGCTATGTTGCCTTGACGTCCTGGGCTCAAGCAATCCACCCACCTTGGCCTCCCAAGGTGTTGGGATGACAGGTGTGAGCCACTGCACCTGGCCAAGTTTCAGTCTTCTTACTGATGGAGGGTCTTACGTTAATGTAAGGTGGTGGTTGCTGAGCGTTGGGGTGGCTGTGGCAATTTCTTAAAATAAGACAACGTTGAAGTTTGCTGTGTCAAGTGACTCTCCCTTTCACAAAAGAATTAACTGTAGCATACGATGATAGCTTTTTACCCACAGTAGAACTTTCAAAATTGAATTCAATGCTGTCAAACCTTCATACTGCTGTACCAACTAAGTTTATGTATTATCGTAAATCATTGGGCTCAATCCTGTCAAGCCTTCCTTCTGCTGTACCAAGTTTATTTTAAATCTGTTGTCATCTCAACATTGTTTACACTGTCTTCACCACGAGTAGATTTCATCTCAAGAAACCACTTTCTTTGCTCATCCGTGGAAGCAACTCATCCTCTCACGTTTTCTCCACAGGCTGCTGCAGTCTCGCCAGATCTTCAGGCTCTGTCTCTGATTCTAGTGCTCTTGTTATTTCCACCATATCTGCAGTTACTTCCTCCACAGAAGTCGTGAACCCCTGTGTCATCAGTGAGGGTTGGAATAATCTTCCCAACTTCTCTCTCTCTCTCTTTTATTTTTTTGAGATGAAGTCTTGCCTGGGCTGGAGTGCAGTGATGCGATCTCAGCTCACTGCAACCTCCACCTCCCGTGTTCAAACAATTCTCCTGCCTCAGCCTCCCAAGTGTTTGGGATTACAGTCACCCCCGACCAGGCCCAGCTAATTTTTTTGTTGTTTATAGTATAGACAGGATTTCACTATGTTGGCCAGGCTGGTCTCAAATTCCTGACCTCATGATCCACGTGCCTTGGCCTCCCAAAGTGCTGGGATTACAGGCGTGAGCCACCAAGCCCAGCCCCAACTTCTCCTAATGTTGCTATTTTGATCTTCTTTTTTTTAAATCATGAATGTTCTCAATGGCATCTAGAATGGTGAATCCTTTCCAGTAGGTTTTCAATTATTTTGCCCAGATCCATCAAAGGAATCACTTTCTAGAGAAGCTATAGCTTTATGAAATATATTTTTTAAGTGATAAGACTTGAAATTTGAAATTATTCTTTGATCCAAGGGCACCAGAATGAATGTTGGGTTAGTAGGCATGAAAACAATATTCAGCTCTTTATACATCTCTGTAAAAGCCCTTGAGTACCAGGGGCATTGTCAGTGAGTGGTAATACTTTGAAAGGAATCTTATTTCTTGAGCAGTAGTTGTCGACAGTGGGCTTAAGATATTCAATAAACCATATTTGTAAACCGATAGTCTGTCATCCAGGCTTTCTTCCCATTTGTAGAGTACAGGCAGAGCTGTGTTTTATCGTAATTCTTCAGGGCCCTTGGATTTTCAGAATAGTAAATCATCATTGGTTTCAAGTTAACATCACCAACTGTATTAGGCCTTAACAAAAGAGTCAGCATGTCCTTTGAAGCCTTAAATCCAGGCATCAACTCCTCTCTAGCTGGGAACATCCTGGATGGCATCTCCTTCTAGTAGAAGGCTGTTTTGTCTCCACTGCAAATCTGTTTAGTGTAGCCATCTTAATCAATTATCTTCTAGATAGCTTTCTGCAGCTTTTCCATCAGTACTTGCTGCTTTATCTTGCGCTTTTATGTTATGGAGATGACTTTTTTCCTTAAACCTCAAGAAACAAGCTCTTCTAGCTTCAGACTTTTCTTCTGCAGCTGCCTCACCTCTCTAAGTCTTCATAGAATTGAAGGGAGGCCGGGTGCTGTGGCTGTCACACCTGTAATCCTAGCACTTTGGGAGGCCGAGGCGGGCAGATCACCTGAGGTCAGGAGTTCGACACCAGTCTGACCAACGTGGAGAAACCCCGTCTCTACTAAAAATACAAAAAATTAGCCAGGCGTGGTGGTGCATGCCTGTAATCCCAGCTACTCGGGATGCTGAGGCAGGAGAATGGCTTGAACTTGGGAGGCAGAGGTTGCGATGAGCCAAGATCACGCCATTGTACTCCAGCTTGGGCAAGAAGAATGAATCTCTGTCTCAAAAACAAAGAAAAAAAGTAAAAAGAGAGTTAGGCTTAGGCTTAATGGAATTTTTTTTTGTTTTTTTATCTTCTATCTAGACCAATTAAACTTTCTCCATAACAGCAGCAAGATTGTTTAGCTTTTTATCATTCATGTATTCACTGGAGTAGTACTTTAAATTTCTTTCCAGAACACTTCCTTTGCATTCACAACTTGGCTAAGTGTTTGTTGCATGAGGTCTAGCTACTGGCCTGTCTTGCTTACAGCATGCCTTAATCACTAAGCTTAATTATTTCTTCCTTTTGGTTTAAAGTGACAGACATGCAACTCTTCTTTCACTTGAACATACAGAGGCTATTGTAGGGTTATTAATTGGCCAAATTTTAATATTAATTAAAAGAAGCCTGAGAAAAAGAGAGAGAAAGAGAAATGGCCCATTGGTGGGGCAGTCAGAACAAACGTATTTGTCAATTGTTTGCTGTCTTATCCTGGTGTGATTTGTGGTTCCCAAAACAATGACAACAGTAGCATTAAAGATCACTGATTACAGATCACTATAACAGATTCAATAATAAAAAGCTTAAAATACTGTGAGAATGACCGAAATGTGACACAGAGACGTGAAGTGAGCACGTGCTGTAGGAACAATGGTGCCAGTCAGACCTGCTTATTGCAGGGTGGCCACAAACCTTCAATATGTAAAACACATGGTCACAAAACACAATAAAGCAAAGTGCAGTGAAACAAGATGTGTCTGTGTTTTGATAGACTCTGACAATCTCTATCTTTGAATTGGTACATTCATACCATTAGCATTCAAAGTGATTATTGATATCATTGGATTAATATCTACTATATTTGTTACTGTTTTCTATTCATTCTCCTCAGTCTCCATTCTTTTGTCTACCACTCTTTTTCTGCCTTTTGCAGTTTTCATTGATGATTTTAGATGACTACATTTTCCCTGTCTTTCTTAGCATGTCCTTCTCTTTTTAAAACTTTTTTTTAAGTAGTTGCCACAGAATTTGCAATATACATTTACAACCAATTCAAGTCCACTTTCAAATAACACTATCCCACTATCCCACGAATAAGACTACCTGCTTAACAAAACACCTAATTCCTCAGTAACATTTACAACAAATTCAAGTCCACTTTCAAATAACACTATCCCACTATCCCACAAATAAGACTACCTGCTTAACAAAGAACACACCTAATTCCTCAATATACATTTACAACCAATTCAAGTCCACTTTCAGATAACACTATCCCACTTCATGGGTGACTACCTGCTTAACAAAGAAAACACCTGATTCCTCCCTCCCATCCTTCCATTCCATTCCTTGTATTATTGTTCCTTATTTCACTTGTGTATAAGCACACATAATCTATCTGTGTGTATTTATTATTATCTACAAACTTATTGGTCAGATCAATTATGAATAAATACATGTTTTTATTGTACCACAATTCCTCCCTCCCATCCTTCCATTCCATTCCTTGTATTAGTGTCACTCATTTCAATTGTGTATAAGCATACATAATCTATCTGTGTGTATTTGTTATTGTCTATGAACTTCTTGGTCAGATCAATTAAGAATAAATACATAGGTTTTTATTGTACCACAATTCTTTAATGCTCTTTTTAAAAAAATGTTGATCCAGGTTTCAGTTATATATCTTTTGTTTCCCTCTAAAGAATTTCATTTAACATTTCTTGCAAGACAGGTCTCCTGGCAACAAGTTTCTTGAATTTGTATTTTTCTGAGGAAGGCCTTAATTCTCCTTCACTTTTGAAGGGTGGTTTCAGTGGGTACAGAAACTTAGGTTGGTGGGTTTTTTTCTGTCAACATTTTGAATTTTTCATTTCACTGTCTTCTTGCTTTCACAGTTTCTGCAATGTTGAATGCAGTTCTTATCTTTGTGTCTCTGTAGGTAAGGTGTTTTCTGCCCCACCTCTGGTTTCTTTCAGAGTTTTCCTTTATCTTTTATTTCATATAGTTTGAAAATTATATGTCCAAGTGTAGGTTGTTGGCATTTATTCTGCCTGGTGGTCTCTGAGCTTCCTGGATCTTTGGTTTGGTGTCTGACATTAATACTGGAAGTTCTCAGACATGGTTGTTGCAGAACTTTCTTCTATTTTTTCTCCTCCTGGTATTCTCATTACTCTGTTGCACCTTTTGTAGTTGTCCCACAGTCTTGGATATCATCTTCTGTTCTTTTCAGTGTTTCTTTTCTTTAGTTTTTGAAGTTTCTGATGATAAATCCTCAAGCTCAGAGATTCTTTACTCAGCTGAGTCCAGTCTACTAATAAGCCATCAGAGGTATTCTTCAGTTATTTACCACATTTTTTACCACTACATTATGTTGAAGGTTCTTACGATGTCTGTCTTTCTGATTACATTACCCATCTACACTTGAATGCTGTCTACTTCATTCATTAGACCCTTAGCATATTCTCCAGAGGTTTAAAAAAAATTCCAAAATCATATCTTTGTCTGCTTCTGAAGCTTGCTCTGTTGACACAAATTGTATTTTTTTCTTTTTTTGTATTTTAGTATGCCTTGCAATTTTTTCCCTTTATTCTCATGCATGAAGCACTCACTAAAGGTGACTGCTGTTAGTATAGCTTTAGTAATGCGGTGATGAGGTGACAGGGCAGGTGATGCTCTCTTAATCTCTTTAGGCTACTATAACAAAATACTTTAGACTGAGTAATTCATAAACAACAGAGATTATTGCTCACAGATCTGGAGGCTGGAAAGTCCAAGACTAAAGGGGCAGAATATTTAGTGTTTGGTGAAGGTCAAACATTCAGACACTCGCAACGACTATAGTGACAGCAGCAGTCTTCAGGAATCCTATGTGAGGGAAAAACATTCAGACCACAACAGGAGTGCTCGGGAATCCTATGTGAGGGACAAACATTCAGACCCCAGCAGTAGTGTTGTGGAATCCTATGTGAGGGGAAAACTTTCAAACCCTTGTAGCAGTGTTCTGCAATCTTATGTGAGGGGCAAAAATTCAGAACCTTGTAGCAGTGTTCTGGAATCCTATATGAGGAACAATCAGACCACAGCAGGAATGTTCTGGAATCCTATGTGAGGGGCAAACATTCAGACCACAGCAGGAGTGTTCTGGAATCCTATGTGAGGGAAAAACATTCAGACCACAGCAGGAGTGCTCTGTAATCCTATGTGAGGGACAAACATTTCAAAACCTTGTAGCAGTGTGCTGGGATGTTATGTCAGGGACAGACATTTAGACCCTCGCAGCAGTGTTCTAGAATCCCATCTGCGGGACAAACATTCAGACACTCGCAGCAGTGTTCTGGAATTCTATGTGAGGGACAGACATTCAAACCCCAACAGCAGTGTTCTAGAATCCTATGTGAGGGACAGACGTTCAGACCCCAGCAGCAGTGTTCTGGAATCCTATGTGAGGTACAAACATTCAGACACCAGCAGAAGTGTTCTGGAATCCTATGTGAGGGACAAACATTCAGACCCTCGTAGCACTGTTCAGGAATCCTATGTGAGGGACAAACATTCAGACCCTCCTAGCAGTGTTCTGGAATCTTATGTGAGGGACAAACATTCAAACCACAGCAGCAGTGTTCTGGAATCCTACGTGAAGGACAAACTTTCAGACCACAGCAGGAGAGTTCTGGAATCCTATGTGAGGGACAAACTTTCAGACCAAAGCAGGAGTGTTCTTAAATCCTATATGAAGGACAAACATTCAGACCCCAGGAACACTGTTCTGAAATCCTATAAGGGCAAACATTCAGACCCCAACATGAATGTTCTGGAATCCTATGTGAGGGACAAGCATTAAGACCATAGCAGGAGTATTCTGGAATCCTATGTGAGGGACAAACATTCAGACCCTTGTAGAAGTGTTCTGGAATCCTATGTGATTAAAAAAACATTGAGACCACAGCAGGAGTGCTCTGGAATCCTATGTGAGGGACAAACATTCAGACCCCAGAAGGAGTGTTCTGGAATCCTATGTAAAGGACAAACATTCAGACCCTCGTAGCAGTGTTCTGGAATCCTATGTGAGGGAAAAACATTCAGAACCTCGTAGCAGTGTTCTGGAATCGTATGTGAGGGACAAACATTCAGACCCTCCCAGCAGTCTTCTGGAATTCTATGTGAGGGACAGACATTCAAACCCCAGCAGCAGGGTTCTGGAATCCGATGTGAGGGACAGACATTCAGACCCCAGCAGCAGTCTTCTGGAATCCTATGTGAGGGACAAACTTTCAAACACTCATAGCAGTGTTCTGGAATCCTATGTGAGGTACAAACATTCAGACCCTCATAGCAGTGTTCTGGAATCCTATGTGAGGTACAAACATTCAGACCCTCATAGCAGTTTTCTGGAATACTATGTGAGGGACAACCATTCAGACCATGGCAGTTCTGAAATGCTATGTGAAGGACAAACATTCACACCCTCGTAGCAGTGTTCTGGAATCCTATGTGAAGGACAGACATTTAGACCCTCGAAGCAGTGTTCTGCAGTCTTAAGTGAGGAACAAAAATTCAGACCCTCGTAACAGTGTTCTGGAATCCTTTTTTGAGGGACAGACATTGAGACCCCAGCAGCAGTGGTCTGGAATACCATGTGAGGGACAAACATTCACACCCCAGCAACACTGTTCTGTAATCGTATGTGAGGGACAAGCATTCAGACCCCAGCAGCAGTGTTCTGGAATCTTATGTGAGGGACAAACATTGAGACCCTCGTAGCAGTGTTCTGGAATCCTACGTGAGACACAAACATTCGTACCACAGCAGAAGTGTTCCGGAATCTTATGTGAGGGACAACCATTCAGATCACAGCAGGAGTGTTCTGGAATCCTTTGTGAGGGACAACCATTCAGACCACAGCAGGAGTGTTCTGGAATCCTATGTGAGGGACAAATATTCAGACCTCAGCAGGAGGGTTCTGGAATCCTGTGTGAGGGACCAACATTCAGACCCTCGTAGCAGTGTTCTGGAATGCTATGTGAAAGACAACCATTCAGACTCTCATAGCAATGTTCTGGAATCCTATGTCAGGGACATTCAGACCCCAGCCGCAGTGTTCTGGAATCCTATGTGACAGACAAACATTCAGACCACAGCAGGATCGTTCTGGAATCCTATGTGACAGAAAAACGTTCAGACCATAGCAGTAGTGTTCTGCAATCCAATGTGAGGGACAAACATTCAGAGCCCAGCAGCAGTGTTCAGGAATCCTATGTGAGGGACCAACAATCAGACCCTCGTAGCAGAGTTCTGAAATCCTATGTGAGGGACAAACATTCAGAACCCAGCTGCAGTGTTCTGGAATCCTATGTGACAGAAAAACATTCCGACCACAGCAGCAGTGTTCTGGAATCCTATGTACGGTACAAACTTTCAGACCACAGCAGGAGAGTTCTGGAATCCTATGTGAGGGACAAACTTTCAGACCCCAGGAGCAGTGTTCTGAAATCCTATGTTAAGGGCAAGCATTTACATCCCAGTGTGAATGTTCTCGAATCCTAGGTAAGGGACAAACATTCAGACCACAGCAGGAGTGTTCTCGAATCCTATGTGAGGAACAAACATTCAGACCACAGAAGGAGTGTTCTGGAATACAATGTGAGGGACATTCAGACCCTCTTAGCAGTGTTCTGGAGTCCTATGTGGTGAGCAAACTTTCAGACCACAGCAGGAATGTTCTGGAATCCTATGTGAGGGTCAAACATTCCGACCACAGCAGGAGTGTTCTGGAATCCTATGTGAGGGCAAACATTCAGACCCACGTGGCAGTGTTCTGGAATCCTATGTGAGGGACAAATATTCAGACCACAGCAGGAGTGCTCTGGAATCCTATGTGAGGGACAAACATTCAGAACCTCGTAGCAGTGTCCTGAAATCTTATGTGAGGGAGAGACATTTAGACCCTCGCAGCAGTGTTCTGGTATCCCATGTGAGGGACAAACATTCAGACCCTCCCAGCCATATTCTGGAATTCTATGTGAGGGAAAGACGTTCAAACCCCAGCAGCAGTGTTCTGGAATCTGATTTGAGGGGCAGACATTCAGACCCCAGCAGCAGTGTTCTGGAATGCTATGTGAAGGACAAACATTCAGACCACGGGAGCAGTGTTCTAGAATCCTACGTGAAGGACAAACATTAAGACTCTCATAGCAGTGTCCTGGAATCATATGTGAGGAACAACCATTCAGACACCAGCAGAAGTGTTCTGGAATCCTAGGTGTGGGAAAAACATTCAGAACCTAGTAGCAGTGTTCTGGAATCCTATGTGAGGGACATACATTCAGACCACGGCAGCAGTGTTCTGGAATGGTATGTGAAGGACAAACATTCAGACCCTTGTAGCAGTGTTCCGGAATTCTATGTGAGGGACAAACATTCAGACTACAGCAGCAGTGTTCTGGAATCCTATATGACGGACCAACGTTCAGACACTTGCAACAGTGTTCTGGAATACTAGGTGAGGGAGAAATATTCACACCCTTGTAGCAGTGTTCTGGAATTCTATGTGACTGACAAACATTCAGACTCCAGCAGCAGTGTTCTGTAATCCTATGTGAGTGACAAACATTCAGACCCCAAGAGCAGTGTTCTGAAATCCTATGTTAAGGGAAACATTGAGACCCCAGCATGAATGTTCTGGAATCCTATGTGAGGGACAAACATTCAGACCACGGCAGGAGTATTCTGGAATCCTATGTGAGGGACAAACATTCAGACTACGGCAGGAGTATTCTGGAATCCTATGTGAGGGACAAACATTCAGACCACGGCAGGAGTATTCTGGAATCCTATGTGAGGAACAAACATTTAGACCACAGCAGGAGTGTTCTGGAATCCTATATGAGGGATAAGCATTCAGACCCTCGTAGCAGTGTTCTGGAATCCTATGTGAGGGAGAAGCATTCAGAGCACAGCAGGAGTGCTCTGAAATCCTATGTTAGGGACAAACATTCAGAACCTCGTAACATTGTTCGGGAAACCTATGTGAGGGACAGACATTTAGACCCTCGCAGCAGTGTTCTGGAATCCCATGTGAGGGTCAAACATTCAGATCCTCACAGCAGTGTTCTGGAATTCTATGTGAGTGACAAACTTCCAGACTCCAGCAGCAGTGTTCTGTATTCCTATGTGAAGGACAAACATTCAGAATCCAGGAGCAGTGTTTTGAAATCATATGTTAAGGGCAAACATACCCTAGCATCACTGTTCTAGAATCATATGTGAGGGACAGACATTCAGACCCTCACAGCAGTGTTCTGGAATCCTAGATGGGGGACAAACATTCAGACCCCAGCAGCAGGCTTCTGGAATCCTATGTGGGGGACAAACATTCAGACAATGGCAGCAGTGTTCTGGAATCCTACGTGAGGGACAAACACTCAGAGCCTTGTAGCAGTGTTCTGGAATCCTATGTGAGTGAGAGTGCCTGGAGCCTACCCAACCTGACGCCCCCAAAGCCCTCACAGGGTCTGACCTCCCAGCATGCACCTGCCTCTCCCTGAACCCCAACTGCCCACCCTGCCTGTTCCCTGGCCTCCTTCATCCTGTGCAGCCCATAGACTGTGACCATCTCTGCAGCCACTCTGGCTCTTCCTTTACCTTTGTCCTTTCAGAATCTCTGAGCAGGATCTCCCAGGTCCATCCAAACACGTGCTTTGTCCACTTTTGACTAGGCCCTTGGGCATCACTGGGCTATCCCAGCTGTCCACAGGGCCTTCAATAATGCACATTGCACCTGGCTTATCCAAGCAGTGCTCAGCAGCCCACATTGACCAGGTCCCTGCTGACCAGACCCCACACATCAGGTCCTCCCTGATGACACCCTCACTGATTAGACCCTCATGACCAGGCCCCACTAACAAGGCCCCCACTGCCGGGCACACAATGACAAGGACTCCACCGACCAGGACCTTACTGACAAGGCCTCACGGACCAAGTCCTTACTGACAAGTCCTCACTGAGTAGGTCATTATTGACAAGGCCTCACTGATCAGGTTCCACTGATCATGACCTCATTCCCTGGCCCCAAAGATGAGGCCCCACTGACCAGGCCTCCAGGGAACAGGTTGCCACTGATCAGGCCCCTAATAACCAGGCCTAAGGTCACCAGATGCCCCTGACTGGGACCCTAGTGAGTAGACCCCACTGAACTGGCACCAAATGCTGAGATCCCCGCTGACCAGGTCACCCTGTAGACCGGTGCTACAAAAGTCACCACTGACCAAGTCCTCTCTGACTAGGACACTACAGATTAGGTCCCACTGACAAGGCTGCCCTGACCAGGGCCCCACTGACAAGGGCCTCACTGATGAGGACACGCCCACCAGGGTCTGCTGACTAGGTTCCATGTGCCCAGTCCTCCACTGAATAGCACCCCTTGACCTGGTCACCAGTGCCCCAGCCCATGCTGACCAGGCCAGCACTAAGCCCCAGCTGACCAGGTCTCCACTGATCAAGCCCCACAGCCCAGGTTTGCACTGACCAGACACCAAACAACTGGCAGCCAATAGGTCCCCACTCACCAAAACCCCCACTACTAGACCCCACTAATGAGACCCTCTCTAAGCAGACCTCTGCTGACCATGATCCCACTAAATAGTCCTCACTGACCTAGGTCCACTGACCAGGCCCACACTGATCAGGCCCCTCCTAACCACGCCGGAAATCCAAGCGGCAATGACATGTTTCATATGGCAGAAGTTGGAACAAGACAGAGAGAGGAAAGAGGTTCCACAGCCTTTTAAACTACTAGATCTCATGAGAACTCACTCACTATCAGGAGGATGGCATTAAGGGCTTGGTGCTTTGCCATTTGTGAAGGATCCACTCCCACCCCTTTATGATTAAAACTTTTTCCACCTAGGCCCCGACTCTAACATTAGGGAGTGTACTTTCACATGAGTTTTGGAAGGGGCATAGAGAAAAACCGTATTATTCTGTCCCTGACCCCACAAATCTCATGTCCTTCTCACATTGCAAGATACAGTCATGCCTTGCCAGCAGTCTCCCAAAGTCTTAACTCATTTCAGCATTAACTCAAAGTTACAAAGTCCAAAGTCTCATCTGGGTCAAGGCTACATTCTCTTTTGCCTACGAGTCTCTGAAATAAAAAGCAAGTTCACTGCGTCTAAGGTACAATGATGGTACAGGCATTGTGTAAGCTTTCCATATCCAAAAGAGAGACATTTTCCAGAAAGCTTCTTATTTTTATCTGAGGCCCCCTCAGCCTGGCCTTCACTGTCCATGTTTTTGTCAGCATTCTTGTCACAGCCATTTAACCAGTCTCTAAGATGATCCAAAAATGTTCTCATCTGTCTGTCTTCTTTGGAGCCCTCCAAACTCTTCCAACCTCTACCCATTACCCAGTTCCGAAGTTGCTTCCACATTTTCAGGTATATTTATAGCAATGCTCCAGTCCTCATTTGCCATTTTTGGTAAGATTTATCTTGAAAAAGAGGTTTAATTGGCTCATGGTTCTGCAGAGTGGACAGGAAGCTTAGTGCTTCTTCTTCTGGGGGGCCTCAGAAATCTTTCAATCATTGTGCAAGGTAATGAAAGAGTGAATTGTCTCACATGGCAAGAGGAAATCACGGAGAGTAGGGAGTGATATAGAGTTTTCAGTGGCCAGATCTCACGAGAAGTCACTCATGATTGTGAGGACAGTACCAAGGGGATGGTGCTGAACCACTCATGAGAAATTTGCCTTCATGATTCAATCACCTTATACCAGGATCCACCTCCAACATTAGGAAGCATAATTCAACATGAGATTTGGTGGGGACACATATTCGAATTGCCTCATCAGTCTTTGAGTATAAAGACATCCATAGCAGGCTTTATCCAGCCAGCTTCTTTGGGATTCTTTATAAGGTTTCAGATCTATAGGATATCCACTAAAATATTCCTACTTCAAAAGGCAATAAAGTAAGTGGTATTATCATTCTTCAAAAAGTTATAATGGTAGTGTAGGCATTCATAGTATGATTTAGTTCATTTGCTACTGTTTCTATTCTATCACCATATTAACACTTCCCTACACAATTCTATATTCAGCTGGGTTTCAGTTGAGCACAAAGTCATCCTTGTACTACCACCGATAGCTGGCACCAGCTCTTTGATACTGTTATCATTCTGCTGTAGAAAGTACCCGTGAACTGGAAAAAGTCCACACTCGAATAGCTAGTCATTCAACACTATCAAATTTTAGGTGACTTTTTGAAAAAATAGTATCTCTTGTTGAAAGAAATGCTCCATCTGTGATTTCAAGTCTCTCACTTGAGTGAATTGGATGGAAGTGGTGAATTTCAGCCAAAGTGGCCAAAGAAATCCTGTTCCTGTGATAATGACGCCATCAGCCTCTGCACCTCTGTCTTCCCTTCTGCCACATGTTGTCTGTTCTCCGTGACTTTGGTAAGAGCTTCCTTGTGTATGTGGATGATGTCCAGGATGTTTGTCTTGTGTCCCTGAGACAGCACTAACAGGTCCATGGCTGGGTCCAGGTCCTTCCTGGACTGACCGGCAAGGAGCTTACTGATGTTCTTGAAGGCATCTCTGGTGAAGTGGATGGCCTAGTCAACTTCCAAGGCCTGGCTGAGGCTGAAGAAAAACTGGCCACCTTCTGATGCTCTTTCTAAAAGCCTGTCACTGTCATCTGCTTGCTTGTCAACTCATTGGCTGTGAGGTTGAGCTGAGTGGCCTGTGTCCATCTTCTTTGGGAAGCATTTGAAGCCATCAATCTTGCTCTCCCACCCCTAAAGGTTGATGGTCACCACCTGGGGATGTGCTGAGGGTCAGAAAGAAGCCAGCACTCACTATCTCATCCTTCTCAGCCTTCCTCTTGCACTCTCTCCAGGCTGTCTCTTCAGTGCTGGTGGGATATATCAGAAAGTGATGGAAGATGTGGCACTGTGCCCTCACCCAGAAGCTGGCCATGTGGTTGGCTCCTCCACCAGAATGGATGCTCTGGGTGCTCTTTGAGCCAGCTTGGCTTTGCCTAGCATGCACAGGCTCCGGGTACCGAAATGTTGCTCTGAGTGAGCTTGTCCTGCCTTGGGCCAAATTCTGTTAGGCCAGGGCCACAAAAGGCCGAGTCCCACGGGTGGTAATCCTGGCTGCTTTCTGCACTTCCACATAAAGACCTCCTGAAGATGGCCTGTGGTCTACCTCTTTGCAACCAAGAAGCCCGCAGTGCCATATGAATCCTCAGGCATGGACTGGAGCCCCCGAGGAAGCACACACCCTGCTCCTGAGCCTGCTGCTCATTTTCTCTGTGTGGCTCCATTTGTGTCACAGTTGTTGCACAGACTTGTGCATGCTGGGCAAGGCCAAGCTGGCTCAAAAAGCAACCAGCCACCTCTGCAAGGTTGTGCCAGGAGCCGGTGGACCGGCCACCAACCTCACTCACTGCTGGTCAGGTTACATCAGTTATTCTACCCTAGAGGTAGGGCCCCAGTGCCATATGCTTTTCCTCAGGCCTCTGCTCTATCAGTCATCAGGCGGCAACCACTCAGGCTGTGGGAACCTGGCCATCCCTCCTTCCTTGAGTAGCTGAGGTTGCTGGCTTGTCCGCCTACTACAGGCACAGCCTTGCAGATGTGGCTAGTTGCTCTGAGCCAGCTTGGCCTTTCCTGGCATGCCTAGGCCCCAGGTACTGACACTCTGCTCCGAGTCAGCTTGTCCTGCCTTGGGTCAAATTCTAAGTCTGGCCAGGGCCACAGAAGGCCCAGTCCCCTGGGTGCTAATCTTGGCTGCTTTCTGCACTTGAACATAAAGTCCTCCTCAAGAAAGCCTGTGGTCTGCCTGTTGGCGACCAAGAAACCTACAGTGCCATACGAGCCCTGAGGCATGGACTGGAGCCACAAAGGCAGTGCACGCCCCATTCCTGAGCCTGCTGATCATTTCCTCTATATGGCTCCATTTGTAGCACACTTGTTGCAGTGAGGCTTGTGCATGCCAGGCAAGGCCAAGCTGGCTCAAAGAGCAAGCAGCCACCTCTGCAAGGGTGTGCCAGGAGCAGATGGACCAGCTGCCAACCTCACTCACTGCCAGACGTGGTACATCAGTTCTTCTACCCTAAAGGTGGGGCCAAGAGGCAGACCACAGGCCATCTTGAGGAGGACTTTATGTTCAAGTGCAGAAAGCAGGCAGGATTACCACCCTGGGTACTCGCCCTTCTGTGGCCCGCAGTGCCATATGAGCCATGAGGCATGGACTAGTGCCATCTGCTTTATACAAAAAATAACTTAAGATTGATTAAAGAGTTAAATATGCCACCTGCTTTTCCTCAGGCCTCTGCTCCATCAGGCATCAGGTGGCAGCCACTCATGCTGTTGGAACCTCGCCATCCGTGCTTCCTTGAGCGGGTGAGGTTGCTGGCTTGTCCGCCTGCTACAGGCACAGCCTTGCAGAGGTGGCTGGTTGCTCTGAGCCAGCTTGGCCTTGCCTGGCATGCATAGGCCCCAGGTACTGACACTCTGCTCCGAGTCAGCTTGTCCTGCCTTGGGCCAAATTCTAAGTCTGGAGAGGACCACAGAAGGCAGAGTCCCCTGGATGGTAATCCTGACTACTTTCTGCACTTGAACATAAAGTCCTCCTCAAGACAGCCTGTGGTCTGCAGCTAGGCAACCAAGAAACCCGCAGTGCCATAGGAACCATGAGGCATTGACTGGAGCCCCAAAGGCAGGGCACACCCTGTTTCTGAGCCTGCTGCTCGTTTCGTCTATGTGGCTCCGTTTGTTGCACAGTTATTACACTGAGGCTTGTGCATGCTGGGCAAACTCCAAGCCACTTAGAATTTGGTCCAAGGCAGAACAAGTTCACTGGGAGCAGCGTGTCAGTACCTGGGGCCTGTGCATGCCAGGCAAGGCCAAGCTGCCTTAAAGAGCAAACAGCCTCCTCTGCAAGGGTGTGCCAGGAGCCGGTGGACCCACCACCAACCTCACTCACTACCAGTCAGAGTACATCAGTTCTTCTACCCTAGAGGTAGGGCCCAACTGCCATCTGCTTTTCCTCAGGCCTCTGCTTGATCAGCCATCAGGCGGTGGCCACTCATGCTGTGGGAACCTGGCCATCCCTGCTTCCTTGTGTAGCTGAGGTTGCTGGCTGCTCCACCTCCTCCAGAAGCACCCTTGCAGTGGTAGCTGGTTGCTCTTTGAGCCAGCTTAGCCTTGCCTAGCATGTACAGGCCCCAGCTACTGACACACTACTCCGAGTGAGCTGGTCCTGCTTTGAGCCAAATTCTAAGTCTGGCCGGGGCCACAGAAGGCCGAGTCCCCTGGGTGGTAAACCTGGCTGCTTTCTGCCCTTGAACATAAAGTCCTCCTCGGCTGGTCTATGGTCTACCTCTTGGCAACCAAGAATCCTGCAGTCCCATACAAGCCCTGAGGCATGGACTGGAGCCCCAAAGGCAGTGCACACCCTGCTTCTGAGCTTGCTGCTCATTTCCTCTGTGGGGCTCCATTTTTAGGAAAGTTGTTGCATTGAGGCTTGTGTATGCCGGGCAAGGCCAAGCTGGCTCAAAAAGCAACCAGCCGCGTTTGCAAGGGTGTGCCTGAAGTGGTTGGACTAGCCATCAACGTTGCCCACTAAAGGAAGCAGGGAATGCATGTTTGTACCATGCATTTCACTACAGGTCATTTCCCCTGAGGTTGGTGGCCTAGGTTTTCTTCTAGATTTTTTATGGTTTTAGGTCTTACTTCTAACTCTTTCATCCATCTTACTTAATTTTTGTTTAAGGTGTATGGGTGTGGCCCAGTTTCAGTTTTCTGCATTTGGCTAGCCAGTTTTCCCAACACCATTTATTAAATAGGGTATCCTTTCCCATTGCTTGTTTTTGTCAGGTTTGTCAAAGATCAGATGCTTTTAGATGTGTGGTGTCATTTCTGAGGGCTCTGTTCTGTTCCATTGGTCTATAGATCTGATTTGGTACCAGCCCCATGCTGTTTTGGTTACTGTAGCCTTGTAGAATAATTTGAAGTCAGGTACTGTGATGCCTCTAGCTTTGCTGTTTTTGCTTAGGATTGCCTTGGCTATGTGGGCTCTTTTTTGGTTCCATATGAAATTTAAAGTAGTTTTTCTAATTCTGTGAAGAAAGTAATGGTAGCTTGATGGGGACAGCAATGAGTCTATAAATTACTTTGGGTGGTATAGCAGTCAGGCACAGAAATGTCCTTGTGTTAGGCAATACCATTCAGGACATAGCCATGGGCAGAGTCTTCATCACTAGAACACCAAAAGCAATGGCTACAAAAACCAAAATTTACAAATGGGATCTAACTAAACTTAAGAGTATCTGCAGTGCAAAAGAAACTATTATCAGAGTGAACAGGCAACCCACAGAATGGGAGAACATTGTTGCAATCTATCCATCTGACAAAGGGCTAATATGCAGAATCTACAAAGAACAAATTTACAAGAAAAAAAAAACCATCAAAAAGTGAGCAAAGGGTATGAACAGACACTTACCAAAGAAGACATTTATACAGCCAACGAACATGTGAAGCAAAGCACATCATCACTGGTCATTAGAGAAATGGAAATCAAAACCACAATGAGATACAATCTCACACCACTTAGAATGGTCATCGTTAAAAAATCAGGAAAAAACAGATGCTAGAGAGGATGTGGAGAAATAGCAAAGCTTTTACACAGTTGGTGGGAATATAAATTACTTCAACCATTGTGGAAGACAGTGTGGCAATTCCTCAAGGATCTACAACTAGAAATATCATTTGACCCAGCAATCCCATTACTGGGTATATACCCCCAAAATTATAAATCATACTAATATAAAGACACATGAACCTGTCTGTTTATGGCGGCACTGTTCACAACAGCAAAGACTTGGAACCAACCCAAATGCCCACCAATGATAGACTGGATAAAGAAAATGTGGCATATATACACCACGAAATACTATGCAGCCATAAAAAGGGATGAATTCACGTCATTTGCTGGGACATGAATGAAGCTGGAAACCATCATTTTCAGCTAACTAACAGAAGAACAGAAAACCAAACACCACATGTTCTCACTCATAACTGGGAGTTGAACAATGGGAACACATGGACACAGGAAGGGGAACATCACACACCAGGGCCTGTCAGGGTGGGGGGCTAGGAGAGGGATGGCATTAGGAGAAATAACTAATGTAGATCATGGGTTGATGGATGCAGCAAGCCGCCATGGCATGTGTATACCTATGTAACCTGCATGTTCTGCACATGTACCCCAGAACTTAAAGTATAATTTAAAAAAAAAAAGAAATTTGCTTTTAATTAAGCTTTTAATCATAGAACTTGTGAAGAAAATCCTTTTGAATCTTTTATTACCACATCATAGCTGGGACAAACCGCTGACGCTTTAAAAGTAACATAAATATCAAACAGAAAGAACTAGACTTAGGAACCAAACTCAGGTTTCTGTAGTGAACAGGGCAGAATCTTCACACTGGGTCACCACCACTACTCCTTCAGTTTAGCCTTGGCTAGCAAAAGGGTGGCCTTGTTATGTAGATGAGACCACTTATGTAAAAAAAAAAAAGTTTTAAAAAATAATTTCTGCTAACTGGAATGTTTTTTGTTGTTGTTTATTTGTTTGTTTGTTTGTTTGCAGCCATAGGAGTTTTAGCCAATTCAGAGGCCTTGCTCCCCACAATTTGGAAAATTCCTTTGGATTTGACCAAGTCAGGAAGAGAAGGGAGAAAAGTGAAACAACAATAAAGCCCCAAGCATAAACAAACAAAAAGAGTTAAGCAAAACAACAAATGCACAATTCATATGATTACTGAGTGTTCTAATGGTAAGGAGAAACTAAAAGCAGAAATTAAAAGCAGCTGGTGAGTAATCTTAAATTTTAGTCATTAAGGACAAATTTTAAGACAAAACTCTAATTCAGCTACTCACCTGGAAACAAGGCTCAGGCTGGTGATCGTTCTCTGCCATCTTAGAAGCTGAAAACAACTTACACTCACCTTCCCTGTCAGAAGCAAGCTGAAACTCAGGAAAGGAGGTGCCTGCTCTCCATCACCACAGAAGCAGGAAAACTTGCCTTCCTTGTTGGAAATGAGTAAAACTTCAGAAAAGGAGTTGTACAGAAAAATCAAACTTAGATCTCAACCAGATTTTGGGAGACCAGGGACTCTTTGCAGGGGAGAAGCTCCACAACCTCAGCAAATTATCCTGTTGGTTTGGGCAATAAAGATAGCCCATGTTGGTATCAATCAATAACGAGATTTATCAAAGGTCAGGGCCACCTTTGTAATGACCTTCTCTGTCTTTTTTTATCTTTATTGGTATATACGTTTTGTCGAAACTGGGAGTGTAACACCTGATTTCTTCTGTTTTCCATTTGCTTGAAAGATTTTTCACCATTCCTTCATTTTGAGCCTATGTATGGCACTGCATGTGAGATGGGTTTCTTGGAGACAGCATACTCAAATGGGTCTTTGTTCTTTATCCAGCTTGCCCCCCTGTGTCTTTCAATCGGAGCATTTAGCCCATTTCCATTTAAGGTTAGTAATGGTATGTGTGGATTAGATCCTGTCGTCATGCTGTCAGCTAGTTATTTTGCAGACTTGTGTATGTGGTTGGTTTTTAGCATTACTGGTCTGTGTACTTCGGTGCATTTTTGTAGTGGCTGGTGATGGTCTTTTCTTTCCATATTTAGTGCTTCATTCAGGAGCTCTTGTAAGGTAGATCTGGTGATAATGAATTCTCTCAGCATTTGCTTGTCTGAAAAGGATCTTGTTTCTCCTTCACTTATGATGCTTAATTTTGCTGGACATGAAATTCTGGGTTGAAATTTCTTTTTCTTTTAACCATGTATAATAACACCATGTTATTATATGGTATATCTGTCTCTGCCATACTACGTGAAATTTCTTTTCTTTAAGAAGTTGAATATCTTTTCTGGCTTGTAGGGTTTCAGCTGAGAAGTCTGCTAAGTCTGATGGAATTCCCTTTGCAGGTGACGTTGCCTTTCTCCCTAGCTGCCTTTAACAGTGTTTCTTTCATTTTGACCTTGGAGAATCTGATGATTATATGTCTTGGGGATGATCTTCTCATGGCTTATCTTACTGAGGTTCTCTGGATTTCCTGAATTGGAATGTTGGCTTGTCTGGATAGGTTGGGGATATTCTCATGAATGATATTCTGAAGTATGTTTTCCAAGTTGGTTCCATTCTCCTCATCTCTTTCACGTACACTAATCAGTCATAGATTTGGTCGTTTATATAATCTCATATTTCTTGGATGTTTTGTTCATTCATTTTCCTTCTTTTTTCCCCCATTCTTGTCTGCCTGTTTTATTTCAGAAAGCCAGTTTTCAAGCTCTGGGATTCTTTCCTCTGCTTGGTCTATTCTGCTGGGTGGTCTTGCACATGAGATGGAGCTGGTGTGACAGTCCTCCTTAGTCTGCTTGCCTCTCCCAGGACCCCAGCCTGGCCACACCTGCTTACAGGGCAATCTCAGGTGCCCACACACACTACAATAATTTTCATAATGCAATCACACATAATCACTATGTGACTGCATTATGAAAATTCTTGTAGTGTGCTTTTCAGCTCTATTCGGTCGGTTATGTCTTCTTTATACTTGCTATTTTGTCTGTTAGCTCCTACAATGTGTTACAATGATTTTTAGCTCACTTGTATTGCATGACAACATACTTCTTTCACTCAGTGAACTTTGTTCCTACGCATATCCTGAACCCTGCTTGTATCATTCCAGACAGCTCAGCCTCAGCCCAGTTCTGAACACTTGCTGGAGAGTTGATACAGTCATTTGGAGGAAAGAAAGCATGCTGACTTTTTGAGTTTTCAGTGTTCTCGCACAGATTCTTTCTCATCTTTATGGGCTTATCCACCTTCCATCTTCGAGGTTGCTGACCTTCGGACAGGGTATTTTTGTTTTATTGTATTTGATGATCTTGAGGGTTTCATTGTGGGATAAGGTGGATTCAACCAACTGGCTTTGTTTTTGGAGGATTTTAGGGGGGCCAATGTGCAGCTTCCAATTCCTGGACTGTGTGCTTTAACTCTGGGGAACTTGTCTTGGGCCCCAACTTTGTTCTCTGGCTCTTGGAGGTTTGGAGTCCACTGCACTGAGGGGACCAAAGTGTGGCAACTGTGGCAGAATGCTAGTGGATGCAAAAGTCCCTGCCTCCCTGCGGGCATTCACCCAGTGGTGGAGGCAAGACAGCTGGGGTGTGGGCCAGGGGTCCCCTGCTGTGTGTGTGTTGCACTGGAGGTAGTGTTGGTTCAGGGTGGGCTGCTGGCCAGTGCAGGCCATGGTGCCTTCTCTGTGCCCCTCAAAGCAACAGTGGTCACTCAGGGTATAAGAAGGTCCCTTTTTCTCTGCACAGAATTAGCTCAAGGGTTAGGTGCTGGCAGGGGTGGGGTTCTTGGTTCTGTGCCCACCAAGGCTCTGTCTTCAATGGCAGTTGGTGTGGGTTGGGGTGTGTCCTGCACTCCCCTGTGCTGTCAGGGCAAGTACAGCAAAACCCACATGTGTAAACACACACAGCAAAGTGATGTAGGAAGTTTCCATATAAAGGGCTGCAGTATGGAGACGTAATGTGCAGGCTGGTGCGTGGCTGTTGGGGCCACCTTGCTGCAGCTCTCCACTGATCAGGTACAGTCCACTAGCACGGAAGCTATGCTGTGGGCATCCGAGAGTGCCCTGTATGCAGGTGTGGCCAGGCTGGGGTCCTGGGAGAGGCAAGCAGACAAAGGAGTGCTGATATCAGACCAGCCCCATCTCATGTGCAAGACTGCCCAGCAGAGATCAGGTCTCAGAGGAGAACTCTCTCAAAAGTGAACCCCCAGCACAGCATAGCTGCTTTACACAAACATGGCCAGGCTTCTTTTTTAAGCAAGTCCCCTTTTTGAGGAGGGGAACTCTGGGACCTGATCTCTGCTGGGCAATCTTGAACATGAGATGGGGCTGATCTGAACTTAGCATTCCTAAAGTGCTGGGATAAAGTATCTCACAAGGGCACGTGGAGCCTAGAGAGATAGGTGTCCCTGCTCTCTGGGCTCCACATCACCTGACTTGCTGCTCCACCACTCCGCTTGTCTCCTGGGTACTCCATCCCATAGAGATGTGAGTTAGCAATCACTTAGAGTAATCAGCCCAGGATGGAGGGTCTGTGTTGTGAGGCCAAGCCAGTGTTCCCTCTCTGGTGATGAGCAGTGGGGGGTGTGTGGTACCCGTGGGAGATGGACTGGCTTGTTCATTGGGTCAACCGCAGCTTATTGGAGGTGTCAATATGGCACTTAGGGTCTTTGCTCCCTTGATATTCTGAGGGTAGCAAGGGCAGTTTCACTGCGGAGGCAATGGCAGAGAGAATTTCGTTTGCTCCTGGAAGCTCTGTCCAGGGAATTGCTGAGTTGCTACTGGCTGGATAGCTCTGATGGTGGACTGGCTGGAGACCCAGGTCAGTAGGACCTGCCCATCAAGTAGACTGTCTGGCCACTTTTCTGTCAGGCTGCTGTGGTATGCTGGGGGTCCCCTCCAGTCCCTAACTGCCTTGTATTTTCCAGGGAAGATGATAGCCTGCCCCTTCCTCTGGGAGCTCTGTGCCACTGAGGTATGAACTTGTTGCCAGTATGAACACACCTATAAGATGTGACTGGAGACAAGTTGAGAAGTCTTATCTAGTCAGGAGGAACAAAAACAGGCACTGAGTTAAAAAAAAAAAAGTCTGGGCATGTTTTTCTAGAGCAGCTGTGCTATGCCGGGTGTTCCCTTCCACTCCTGGTTGCCTCAGACACTCTGAAGCCCTAATGCTGAAATGGCTGAGTTGCCCCAACAGCAAAGACAACAGTCTGGTCCTCCCCCTGGGAGCTCTGACTCAGGGAGGCCTGAAACCTCTGTCGGCCAGAGAACAGCAGTGAAGGCAGCTGGAGACCCTGGTTGAAAGGCTTCACCTGCTGATTAGAAATGTGGTCGGGGACTGACTTAAACAAGAGTCTGGCCACGTTTTTGTAGTGTGGCCGTGCTGCGCTGAGGTTCCTCTTCCACCCCTTGTCACCTTGGGCTTTCCAAAGCCCGCAAACCAGAACGGCTAGTCACCCAAACAGCAAAGGTGGTGGCCTGCCCCTCTCTCTGGGAGCTCTGTCCCGTGAACACTTCAAATTTCTATTGGCCAAGGAATGCTGGTGGCGGTAGCTGGAGGCCCCATTTGGGAGGTCCTGTACAGTGATGTGCAACAGGGTCGGGGGCCTGCTTACAGAAGCATTCTGGCCATGATTTGGTAAAGCAGCTATGCTGTGCTGTGGGATCTCTTCTGCCCCTTGTCGGTTTATACTCTCCAAAGCCCTCAGGCTGGAATGACTAAGTTGCCTGAACCGGAAAGATGGCGGCCTGCCCCATCTATTCTCTCAGAGTTCATCTTGTTTGATGGAGTTTAATTTTTAGCCTATTAATTTTACTGTCTACATTAGACTTGTTCGGAAAGAATCTGCTATATTTTAGGTTAGATATATGAGAATTCATTGTTTTCTGTAAATAAACCTGTTCATGTCTTGTTCTCTGGAAAGAAATCTCTTTCAACTATCTGACTTTGGTCACAGTCATGTAGAGCAGTATCCAGTCTATAATGACAATTGAATTTCCATTTCCAGTGTTTTGTTTTTGTGTCTTACATTGTACAGTTCAGAAATGAGCATTTTATTCCCAATTGTCAAAATGCTAAGCTGTCCACTGTACTGAAATACTGTTTTTGTTAATGCTTCGTCATTCAATTTTTTTTAAGGTGAACACTTTTATCCAACTTTTCTCAAGTCAGAGTACAGGTAAGCCCTGGCTGCCTCGAACCACTCTCAGGGAGACCAAAACCCTTCATACATTCCAAGTTGGGATACAAAAAAGTGGGGCCATGAAGGCTAGTCATTCAAAATAAAACAAAATTTAAAAGTATTAAGGCAAAGATTTAAAAAAATTTGCATTATGTAATTTACACAAAAGCAATGCTATCGCCTACCATGTGTGAACTCGGGAGAGGACTGGGCCATTCTCCTTAGAGAGAAGTAGGGTGGCTTTTAGGAGGGCAAGGGACTTCCTGAAACAGTGCATCTCACAATATTTGGAATGACTATTGAAAAGAAGAACATTGTACAATCAAAGTCCTTGGCAACATTGTAGAACTAGCGGGTGCTGACCCCTGAGCCACAACCACAGTTCTGGGTTTGGGGTTTGGTAAAACCACCCCAAGGACAGAGTTCTGGGGCCGGGTTTTGGAGGAACCAAGACGCCTCCCAGGGATGGTGTGTCACTCCTGCTTGCCATGAAATGTGCACACAGTCTGTCCCCCTGCCCATCCCATCCTGCTGGACAGGATGGAGGAAGTGAGGGAACAGGCAGGGTGGACAGCTGGAATTCAGGGAGAGGCAGGTGCATGCTGGGAGGTCAGGACCTGTGAGGGCTGTGGGGGCATCAGGTGGAGTGGGCTCCAGGTGCACCCTCAGTGCACAGGGCAGGTCTCAGGCCAGGCTCCCTGGACCCCGGCTGGGTGATGTGGTCACTCCCTGGGGGACTGCTGTCAGACCCTGGCCACCCTCCCTGGGCAGCACCGTCCCATCCCAGAACTGGACTTTCTGAGTCCTAAAACAGGACAGTGCTGCCCAGGCCTGACAGACTGGGAGGACCTGTGAAGTCCTCCATCCCTAGACCAGCCTCCCAACAGCAGGGACAGTCTCCTACCTTTACCTTCAGGGCACTGACTGGTACATCTCATTCTAAGGCAACCAAGGCAGAGCTGAGGACCTGTGCCAGGCTGGGAGCCAGTCCTCTCCCTAAATGGGCCTTAGGGAAGCCTCATGCCTGTCCCAGTGCACTGCAAGTTTCAGCCCAGGATACACATAGGGAAGTGAGGACGGGGCCTCCCCACTGGCTGACCCTGGAAAAGTGGGACCTGGGAGAAGAGGGAGTGCAGGGCTGGCAGGGGATGCTCCAGGCCCATGGAGAGCTCAGGCTGCACCAAGGGGCTTCCCCTCCTGTGCTGGAGGCTGTGCCCTCTGCAGTATCTGAGGAAGTCCAGTCCTGAGATGGGACAGTGCTACCCAGAGTGGGTGTCCAGCACCTGACAACAGTCTCCCAGCAAGTGACCACATCACCCGACCAAGGTCCAGGGAGCCTGGGCCAAGACCTGCCCAGTGCGCTGAGGGTGCACCTGGAGCCCACACCACCTGACGCCCCCACAACCCTCATAGGGTCTGACCTCCCAGCATGCACCTGCCTCTCCCTGAAACCAAGCTGCCCACCCTGCCTGTTCCCTGGCCTCCTCCATCCTGTGCAGACCATAGACTGTGACTATCTCTCCGACCACTCTGGCCCTTCCTTTACCTTTGTCCTGTCAGAATCTCTGAGCAAGATCTCCCAGGTCCATCCAAACACCTGCTTTGTCCACTTTTGACTGGGCCATTGAACACCACTGGGCCACCCCAGCTGTCCACAGGCTCCTCGATAACATGCATTTCCCCTGACATCTCCCAGCAGTACTCAGCAGCCCCCACTGACCAGGTCCCTGGTGACCAGTTCCAGCATATCACTTCCTCCCTGACCACACCCTCACTGATTAGAGCCCCATCACCAGGCCTCACTAACTAGATTCCCGCTGCCAGGCCCACAATGACCAGGACTCCACTGACGAGGACCTTACTGACAAGGCCTCACTGGCAAGGCCTCACTGGCAAGGCCTCACTGACGAGGTCCTTACAGACAAGGCCTCACTGATCAGGTTCCACCGATCATGACCCCATTGTCTGGTCCCACAGATGAAGCCCCACTGGCCAGGCCTGCAGGGAATAGGCAGCCAGTGACCAGGCCCCTGCTAACCAGGACTGAGGTGACAAGATGCTCCTGACTGGGACCCTAATGACTACGCCCCACTGAACAGGCACGCACTGCTCAGATCCCCGCTGACCAGGTCACCCCGTAGACCAGTGCTACAAAAGCCACCAATGATCAAGTCCTCTCTGACCAGGCCCCCACTGATTAAGTTCCAAGGACCAGCCTGCCCTGACCAGGGCCCCACTGACAAGCGTCTCTGCTGACTAGGTCCCAAGGTCTCCACTGACCAAGTCCCACAGCCCAGGTTGGCACTGACCAGACACCAAACATTTGTCTACCACTATCAACCCACTCACCAAGGCATGCACTACTAGATCCCTCTAATGAGACCCACTCTAAGCAGACCCCTGCTGACCACCCCCCACTAAATAGGCCTCACTGACAAGTCCCAACTGACTAGGTCCCCTGAGCAGGCCCACACTGATCAGGCCCCTCCTAACCATATCAGAAGACCAAGAGGCAATGAGATGTTTCATATGGCAGGAGTAGGAGCAAGACAGAGAGGGGAAAGAGGCGTGACATCCTGTTAGACAACCAGATCACATGAGAACTCACTATCAGGAGATCAGCATCAAGAAGACTAACCAATGGTGAAGGATTCTCCAACCACACCACCGCCCACTGCTTCCAGGCAGAAGCCTCCTGCAGAGGCAGAACCTCTTATGAAACTTCCACTATGGCAGTGCAGAAGGAAAATATAGGCTTTGAGCCCCCACACAAGAGGCCACGATCCTCCAGACTCCAGATTAATAAGCCCACCAACAGCTCACACTCTGAGTATGGAAAAGCTACAGGCACTCAACACCAACCCAGCCCATGAGAGCAGCCATGGGGGCTACACCCTGCAAAGCCACAGGTGCACTCTCCTAGTAGAGGTTTCCCATGAGCCTCTGCCTCTGCAGCAGGTTACTCCCACCCTCCCACCACCCTACTGACAACCTACTCCTCCCCACACTATCCCTCCTTTTCCTTCCACCCCAACCCCCTCCCATCCAAGATTAAGTCACCTCCCACCTGGCCCACCTCCAACATTAAGGATGACACGTGAGTTTTATAGGGACACACAGCCAACCCATATTATTCTGACCCTGATTCCCCAGAACCTCATGTCCTTCTCACAGAGCAAAACACAATCATGCCTTTTCAAAAGTTTCCAAAAGTCTTAACTCATTCCGAATGTAAAAATTTCAAAATCTCATCTGAGACAAGGTTACAGTCCCTTCTGCCAATGAGTCCCTGAATTTAAAAGGGATTTCTTTTCCTTCAAGGTAGAACAGGCATTGGGTAAGGTTTCTCAATCCAAAGGGAAGAAGTTGCCCAGAAAAATAACACAAATGCAAGTCCAAAACCCAGCAGGACAGTATTCACTCAATCTCACAGCTCCAAAATCATCAAGAGGACTCACTGTCGTGCGGACAGCATTAAGGAGATAGTGTTTACTCATTTGTGAAGAATCTGCCCCCCACCTTCACCTTTCACTCCCACCCACAAAATAATCTCTCCCATTCTCCCCACACCCCTACCTCCAACACCCACTCTTCTCCATGATTAAATCACCTCCCACCAGTTCCCACCTTTAACATTCCCCACTACAATTCCACATGAGCATGGGTAGGGACACAGAATCAAATTATATTATTCTGGCTCTTGCTCCCCAAATCTTGTATCCTTGTCACACTGCAAAATACACTGATGACTTCTCTACTGTCCCCCAATGACTTAACTCATTCCAGCATTTACTGAAATGTACAAGGACTTACAGACCCCATGCAAGTCAAAAACCCAGCAGGCCAGTCATTGAATCCTGCAGCTCCAAATCATCTTTTCTGAATCTACATCTCACATCTAGAGCACAGGTGTGTGATGCCTGGGCTTCCAAGGCCTTGGGCAGCTCTACACCTGTGGCTGTGCAGGGTCTATACCCCACAGCTGCCCTCATGGGCTGGGCTGATGTTGAGTGCCTGTAGCATTTCCATACTAAGGGTGCCAGCTGTTGGTGAGTCTATGAATCTGGAGTCTGGAGAATGGTGCCTCCATATTTAGGGACTCCAGCCCTAAATTCTCCTTCGGTACTGCCCTAGTAAAAGTTTCCCATGAGGCTCTGCCTCTTGGAAAAGATTTTGTGTGAACACCCAGGTTTTTCCGTACATACTCTGGAGTCTAGACAAAGGCTTGCAAGCTTCTAGTTTTGTGCTGTGTGCAGCTGCTGGCTTAACACTATGTGGAAGCCACCAAGCCTTGAAGCTTGCACCCCTGAAGCAGTGATGCAAGCTGTACCTGTGCATCTTTCAGCCAAGGCTGGAGCTGGAGCTTCAGGAATGCAGCCAGCAGTGTCCTGAGGTTGGACATAGCAGTGGGGCCATGGGGCTGGAGAAGGAAACCATTCTTTTCTCCCAGGCCTCAGGGCCTGTGATAGCAAGGGCTGCTGCAAAAGTCTCTGAAATGCCTTCAAGACCTTTTTAACATTGTATTGGCTATTAGCACTGAACTCCTTTTTATGCACATTTCTGAAGACTTTTTGAACTTTCCCACTGATAATCAGCTTTTCTTTTTGGCCACTTGGCCAGGCTTCAAATTATCCAAACTTTTAAGCTCTCCTTCTCATTTAAATACAAGTTTCACCTTGAGGTCATTTCTTTGGTCACATATAGGACCACAGGCTGTTCGACACAGACAGGAAACCTCTTAAGCTTTGCTGCCTAAAATTTCATTCCACCAAATACACTCTAAATTATCACCCTGATGTTCAAAATTTCACAGGTCTCCAGGTTAGGGGCATTGTGCAGCAACAATCTTTGCTAAGAAAAAAACAAAAGTGACCTTGACTCTTGTTCCCAGCAAGCTCCTCATTTTCATGTGAGACCTTCTAAGCCTGGTGATCACTGTCCATCCTTCTGTCACCTTTTTAATTATAACTATTTAACAAGTCTCTACACTGTTCCAAACTTTTCCTCATCTTCCTGTCTTCTTCCAAGACCTCCAAACTCTCCAACCTCTGGCCATTACACACTTCTCAACCTGCTTCTACATTTTCAGCTACGTTTGTCACAGCCTGGCAATGTGGTAAAAGAAGAAAAGTCTATTTCAGGAGAAAAATTAATGCAGGCTTCAGACATTTGCCTGAAAAGAAGCTGAGTGCTGATTGCCAAGAGAATAGGAAAAAGGCCTTGAAGGCATTTCATAGTTCCACTTTATAGCATTATTTTTCTGTATAATCAGAAAGAAAAGAGGTTGAACTGGCTCATGGTTCTACAAGCTTTAAATAAATCATAGAGGCTTCTGCTTCTGGGAGGACTCAGGAAGCCTCCCAATCATACCAGAAGACCAAGCAGCAATGGGATGTTTTATATGGCAGAAGTAGAAACAAAACAGAGAGAGGAAAAAGGTGCCACGCGTTGTATAACCCTGTTATACAACCAGATTTCCTGAGAACTCACTATCACAAGGTCAGTATCAAGAAGATGTTGCTTAACCATTGGTGAAAGTTCTGCCCCCTACCACCCACACCCCTCACTGTTTCCGGGCAGAAGCCTGAGGAAGAGGCAGAGCCACTAGGAAAACCTCTAATAGGGCAGAGCAGAAAAAGTATATGGGCTTGGAGGCCCCACACAGGAGGTTACCATCCTCAGACCCCAGATTCATAGACTCACCAACAGCTTGCACTCTCAGTATGGAAAAGCTACAGGCACTCAAGCAACAGCCCAGCCTATGAGGGCAGCCATGGGGGCTACACCCTGCAAAGCCATAGGTGCACTGCCCTGGTGGAGGTTTTCCTTGAGGCTTTGCCTCTGCAGCAGGCTACTCCCCCTTACTACTGCCCACGAAACTCTCACCACCCTACTGCCAGCCTACTCCTCCCCATCCTACCCATTTGTTTTCCCTTCCACCCCTACCAACCTCCTGTTTGTGATTAAATCACCTCCCACCAGGCCCAACCTACAACTGTCAGGAATACAATTCCCCATGAGTTTTTGTAGGGAAACACAGCCAAACCATATTATCCTGACCCTGACACCCCCACATCTCATGTCCTTCTCACACAGAAAAATACAAACATGCCTTTTCAAAAGTTTCAAAAAGTCTTAACTCATTCCAGCAGTAACTCAAATGTAGTAAGTTCAAGTCTCATCCAAGACAAGGCTGCAATCCCTTCTGCCTATGAGTCCCTGAATGTAAAAAAAAATTCTTTTCTTTCAAGTTACAATGATGGCACAGGCATTGGGTAGGCTTTCTTAAACCAAAGGGAAGGTTTTCCCAGAAAAATAACACAAATGGGACACAGGCCCAATCCGACTCCAAAACCCAGCAGGACAGCATTCATTTATCACGAGAACTCACTATCACACAGACTGCATTAAGGAGATAGTATTTAAACATTTGTGAAGGATCTGCCACCCATCCCCATGTTTCACCCTCACCCACACCATGAACCTCCATTCTCCCACATCCCCCTTCCAACCCCCATTCTCTACCATGATTAAATCACCTTCTACGAAGCCCCACACTTAACATTCCCCATTATAATTCCACATGAGTTTTGGTAGGGACACAGAGCCAAATCGTATTATTCTCCTTTGGCCCCCCAATCTCACACCCTTCTCATACTGCAAAATACAATGATGCATTCTCTACAGTCCCCCAATGTCCAGCAGTAACTCAAATGTCCAAAGGCCAAAGTCTTCTCTGAGACAAGGCTGCCATATCTTCTGCCCTGAGCCTCTGAAATACAAAGCAAGTTAACCACTTCCAAGTTACAATGATTGTACAGGCATTGGGTAAGCATTCCAAGCCAAAAAGTAGAAATTTCCCAGAAAGAAGCACAAAACACAGATGGGACTTACAAACCCCCTGCAAGTCAAAAACCCAGCAGGCCAGGCATTCCATCATACAGCTCCAAATCATCTTTTTGGAATCTATGTCCACATCCAGAGCACAGGGTTTTGTGATGGCTGGGATCCCAAGGCCTTGGGCAGCTCTGCACATGTGGCATTGCAGAATCTTCCCCCTACAGCTGCCCTCATTGGCTAGGCTGGTGTTGAGTGCCTGTAGCTTTTCAACACTAAGGGTGCAAGCAGCTGGTGGGTCTATGATACTGGGGTCTGGAAAATGGTGCCTCCCTGTATGGGGACTCCAACCCTATACTTTCCTTTTGTACTGCCCGAGTAGAGGTTTACCATGAGGCTCTGCCTCTTGGAAAAGCTTCTGGTTAGACACTCAGGATTTCTGATATATCCTCTGGAGTCCAGACCAAGGCTCTGAAGCTTCTAGTCCTGTGCTTTATGCACCTGCTGGCTTAACACTATGTGGAAGCTACCAAGGCTTGGAGCTTGCATCCTCTGAAGCAGTGACACAAGCTGTACCTGTGCATCTTTCATCCATGGCTGGAGCTGGAAAAGGAGCTGCAGGGATGCAGGCAGCAGTGTCCTGAGGCTGCACACAGCAGTGGAGCCATGGGGCTGGGCCAGGAAACTATTCTTTTCTCCTAAACCCCAGGGCCAGTGACAGCAAGGGCTGCTACAAAGTCTCTGAAAAGCCTTCAAGGCCTTTTTCCCATTGTCTTGAATTATTAGCACTGGGCTCCTTTTTAGGCAAATATCTGAAGGCTTCTTGATTTTCCCCCTGAAAATCAGCTTTTCTTTTTGACCATTTGTCCATATTACAAATTTTCCAAATGTTGAAGCTCTGCTTCTCATTTAAATATAAGTTCCAACTTATGGTAATTTCTTTCATCACACATAGGAGCACAGGCTGTTCGACGTAGGCCGGACAACTCTTCAGCTTTGCTGCTTAGAAGTTCATTCCACCAGATACACCCTAAATCATCACCCTAAAGTTCAGTTTCACAGATCTCCAGGGAATGGTCACTGTGTAGCCAATTACTTTGCTAAGGCAAAAGAAAAAAACCTTGGCTCCTTTTCCCAGTAAGTTCCTCATTTTCATCTGAGACCTTACAAGCCTGGCCTTCAGTGTCCATCCTTCTGTCAGCCTTTTAATCATAACTATTTAACAAGTCTCTGCAATGGTCCAAACTTTCCCTCATCTTGCTATCTTCTTCCAAGCTCTCCAAACTCTCTAACCTCTGGCCATTACCCAATTTGGAACCTGCTTCTACACTGTCAGCTATCTTTGTTGCAGCCTGGCGATATGGTAAAAGAAGAAAAGTCCATTATCAGGGGAAACATCAAGATGGCCTCCAATATTTGCATTGAATAAAGCTCAGCGCTAATAGCCAAGAGAATGGGGGAAACGCCTAGAAGTCATTTCATAACTTCACTTCACAGCATTAATTTTCTGTATCTACATAAAGAAAAGAGGTCTAATTGACTCACAGTTCTTCAGGCTGTAAAGAAAGCATAGTGGTTTCTGCTTGTAGGAGGACTCAGAAAGCCTCCCAATTATACCAGAAGGCCAAGCGGCAATGAAATATTTCATATGGCAGGAGTAGAAGCAAGACAGAGAGAGGAAAGAGGTGAGACATCCTGTTATACAACTATATCTCATGAGAGCTCACTATCAGGAGATCAGCATCAAGAAGATTGTGCTTAACTGTTGGTGAAGGATCCGCCCACCTCCCCATATCCACCACCCACTGTTTCCAAGCAGAAGCCTGAGGCAGAGACAGATCCCCTTGGAAAACCTCTACTAGGGCAGTACAGAAGGAAAATATGGGCTTGGAGCCCCCACGCCACCATCCTCCAGATCCAAGAGTCATGGACCCACCAACAGCTCACACCCCCAGTATGGAAAAGCTTCAGGTACTCAACACCAGCCCAGCCCATGAGAGCAGCAGCAGGTGCTAAACCCTGCAAAGCCACAGGTGCAAAACCACAGGTGCACTGCCTTAGTAGAGGTTTTCCATGAGCCTCTGCCTCTGTGGCAGGCTACTCCCTTCCTGCTACACACCACCCTACAGCCAGCCTACTCCTCCCCCCCTTACCCACCTGTTTTTACTTCCAACCCCACCCCTCTCCCATCCATGAATAAGTCACCTCTCACCAGTCCCCACCTGCAACATTCGGGATTACAATTACATGTGAGTTTAGGTAGGGACACACAGCTAAACCATATTATTCTGACCCTGATCCCCCAATATCATATCCTTCTCACAGAGTAAAATACAATCATGCCTTTTCAAAAGTTGCCAAAAGTCTTAAGTCATTTCAGCATTAACTCGAATGTAAAAAGTTCCACGTCTCACCTGAGAAAAGGCTACAGTCCCTTTTGCCTATAAGTCCCTGAATTTAAAAGGGAGTTCTTTTCTTTCAAGGTACAATGATGGTACAGGCATTGGGTAAGTTTTCTCAATCCAAAGGGTAGAGGTTTGCCAGGAAAATAACACAAATGGGATCACAGGGCCAATGCAAGTCCAAAACCCAGGAGACCAGTATCCATTAAATCTCACAGCTCCAAAACCATCACGAGAACTCACCATCATGAGGAAAGGATTAAGGAGATGGTGTTTAACTATTTGTGAGGGATCATCCCCCCACCCCCACTTTTCACCCCTCACCCCCAGCATAATCCACCCATCCTCCCCAGTCTCCACCTTCCAACACCCAGTTCCCTCCATGATTAAATCACCTTCCACCTGGCCCCAATTTTAACATTTCTGATTACAATTCCACATGAGTTTCCATAGCGACACACAGCCGAATCTTATTATTCTGTCCCTGCCTCCCCAAATCTCATGTCCTTCTCATTTTGCAAAATACAGTGATGCCTTACTTACAATTCCCCAAGCCACTATGCTTTTTTTTTTACAGCCTGCAGAACCATCAGCCGATTAAACCCCTTTTTGTTATGATCATACAGAAAATTAGTACTGTGAAGTGAAGCTATGAAATGCCTTCAATGACTTTTCCCCATCGTCTTGACTAAGACCTCCAAGGTCTTAACTCATTCCAGCATTTACTTCAATGTCTGAAGCCCAAAGTCTCATCTGAGACAAAGATGCAGTCCCTTCTGTTCCTGAGCCTCTGAAATACAAAGCAAGTTAACTATTTCCAAGGTATGATTGTCCAGGCATTGAGTAAGAATTCCCACCCTAAAGGAAGATTTTTGCCAGAGAGAACAACGAAACACAAACGGGACTTACAGGTCCCAGGAAAATCCAAAACCCAGCAGGCCAGTTACTCAAACCTACAGCTCCAAAGTCATCCTTTTCTAATCCTTGTCCCACATCCAGGGCACAAGGGCATGAGGGCTGGACTCCCAAGGCCTTGGGCTGGTCTGCACCTGTGGCTTTGCAGTTTTCAGTCCCCACAGCTGCCCTCATGGGCTGTGCTGGTGTTGAGTGCCTGTAGTTTTTACCCACAGAGTGTACAAAGCTCTTGGTGGGTCTATGAATCTGGGGTCTGCATATGGTGGCCTCCAGTGTGGGGGCTCCAACCCCCTATTTTCCTTCTGCACTGCCCTAGTAGAGGTTTCCCAGGAGGCTCTCCTTTTTTGGCAGCCTTCTGTCTGGACACCCAGGCATTTTCATACATCTTCCAAAATCTATATGAAGGCTCTGAAGCCTCTGGGCTAGTGCTCTATGGACTAGCTGGCTTAAGACTATGTGGAAGCCGTGAAGCCTTATAGCTTGTACCCTCTGAAGCAGTGATGCAATCTGTACCTGTGCATCTTTCAGCCAAGGTCGGAGCAGGTGCTGCGGCTGCTGGGATGCAGGCAGCAGTGTCCTGAGGCTGCACACAGCAGCAGGGCCATGGGGCTGGCCCCAGAAACCATTCTTCTCTCCTAGGCCCCAGGGTCTGTGACACCAAGGGCTGCTGCAACCATCTCTGAAATGCCTCCAAGGCTTTTTCCCCCCATTGTCTTGGCTATTAGCACTGGCCTCCATTTTATGCAAATTTCTGGAGCCTTCATGAATTTTCCCCCTGAAAATCAGCTTTTCTTTTTGACCACTTGGCCAGGCTGCAAATGCTTCTAAACTTTTGAGCTCTGCTTGTCATTTAAATATAAGTTCCAACTTGAGGTCATTTCCTCGGTCACACATAACCTCGGTCACACAAGAACACGGGCTGTTTGATGCAGACAGGATCCCCCTTGTGCTATGCTGCCTAGAAGTTCATTCCACCAGATATGCACTAAATCATCACCCTCAAGTTCAAAGTTTCACAGATCTCGAGGGCAAGGTCGCCCTGCAGCCATGTTCTTTGCTACAGCAAAACAAAAGTAACCTTGGCTCCTGTTCCCAGTAATTTCCTCATTTTCATGTGAGACCTTGTAAGCCTGGCCTTCACTGTCCATCCTTCTGCCAGCCTTTTAATCACAACTATTCAACAAGTGCCTACGATGGTCCAAAATTTCTTTCATCTTCCTGTCTTCTTTCAAGCTCTCCAAACTCTCCAACCTCTGGCTGTTACCCACTTCTGAACCTGCTTTACATTTTCAGCTATCTTTGTTGCAGCCTGACAATGTAGAAGAAAAAGAAGTCCATTTTCAGGGGGAAACTTCAAGAAGGCTTCAGATATTTGCATTAAAATGAAGTCCAGTGCTAATAGCCAAGACGATGGGGAAATGTCATTGAAGATATTTCATAGCTCCACTTCGCAGTACTTTATTTTCTGTATGATCATAATGAAAAGGGGTTTAATTGGCTCATGGTTCTGCAGGCTGTAAAGAAAGCATAGTGGCTTCTGCTTCTGGGAGGACTCAGGAAGACTCCCAATCATACCAACAGGAAAACAGCAATGAAATATTTCATACGGCAGGAGTAGGAGCAAGGCTGAGAGAGGAAAGAGGTGCCACACCGTTATATAACAAGATCTCATGAGAACTCACTATCACTAGGTCAGCATCAAGAAGATGGTGCTTAACCATTGGTGAAGGATCCGCCCCCCAACACAGCTCCACCTCCTAGTGTTCCAGACAGAAGCCTGCTGCAGAGGCAGAGGCTCTTGGGAATCCTGTACTATGGCAGTGCAGAAGGAAAATAAGGGCTTTGACTGACTATGCAGGAGGCCACCATCCTCGAGACCCCAGATTCATAGACCTACCAACAGTTCACACCCTCAGTATGGAAAGGTGATAGGCTCTCAACACCAGCCCAGCCCATGAGAGCAGCCATGGGGGCTAAAGCCTGCAAAGCCACAGGTGCACTGCCCTGGTAGAAGTTTTCCATGAGCCTCGGCCTCTGCAGCAGGCTACTCCCCCTTCCTAATATCCATCACCCTCCCACGGCCCTACAGCCAGCCTACTCTACCCCACCCTACCCACCCCTTTTTTCTTCCACCCCTACACCTCCCATCCATGATTAAATAATCTCCCACCAGGCCCCATCTCCAAAATTTGGGATTACAATTCCACATGAGTTTTTCCAGGGGCACACAGCGAAATCATATTATGCTGACCTTGACCCCCCAAATATCATATCCTTTTCACAGAATAAAATACAATCATGCCTTTTCAAAGGTTTCCAAAAGGCTTAACTCCTTCCTGCATTAACTCAAATGTAAAAAGTTCTAAGTCTCATCTGAGACAAGGCTGCAGTCTCTTCTGCTTATGAGTCCCTGAAGTTAAAAGGGTGTTTGTTTCTTTCAAGGTACAATGATGGTACAGGTACTGGGTAAACTTTCTCAATCCAAAGGGAAGAAATTTCCAAGAAAAATAACACAAATGGGACCACAGGCCCAATGGACATCCAAAATCCAGTACGTCAGTGTTCATTCAATCTCACAGCTCCAAAGTCATGAAGAGAACTCACTATCAGAAGGACAGCATTAAGGAGATGGTGTTTAACCATTTGTGAAGGATCCACCCCCACCCCTGCCTTTCACCCCCAACCCCACCACAATCCCCTCCAACCCTCCCCACCCCCGATTCCCTCCAACCCTCTCCACCCCAGAATCCCCCCCACCCTCCCGGTGCCCCCAACCATCCAACCTCCACTCTCCACCATGATTAAATCACCTTCCATCAGCCCCCACCTTTAACATTTTGCATTAACATTCCACATGAGTTTTGGTAGAGACAGAGAGCCAAAACCTATTATTCTGTCTCTGGTCCCCCAAAGTTCATGTCTTTCTCACATTGCAAAATGTAATGATGCCTTCCCTAGAGTCTCTCAAATCTTAACTCATTCCAGCATTTACTCAAATGCACAAAGCCCAGAGTCTTATCTGAGACAAGTCTACAGTCCCTCCTGCCCATGAGCCAGTGAATTGTAAAGCAAGTTTACTACTTCCAAGGTACAATGATTGTACAGGCAGTGGGTGACTCATAGGATACATAAGTGTCCAAAACCCAGCAGGCCAGTCACTTAATGCTACAGCTCCAAAATCACCATTTTTGAATCCTTGTCCCATATCCATGGCAGAGGGCTGTGAGGGCTGAGCTCCCAAGGCCTTGGGCAGATCTGCACCTGTGGCTTTGCAGCGTTCAGCCTCCGCAGCTGTCTCTCATGGACAGGGCTGTTGTTGAGTGCCCATAGCTTTTCCACAATGAGGGTGAAAGCTGTTTATGGGTCTATGAATCTGGGGTTTAGAGAATGATGCCTCCCTGTGTGGGGGCTTCAACCCTATAGGTCCCTTCTTTGCTCCTCTAGTAGAGGTTCCCCATGAAGCTCTGCCTCTTGGAAAAGCTTCTTCCTGAACATCCAGGATTTTCTGTACATCTTCTGGAGTCTAGATGGGAGTTCTCAATCCTCTAATCTCTTTCTCTGTGCACCTACTGGCTTAACACTATATGGAAACCATCAAGACTTTGAGGCACCTCTGAAGCAATGACCCAAGCTGTACCTGTGCATCTTTCAGTCATGGCTGGTGCTGGAGCTGCACGGATGCTGGCAGCAGTGTCCTGCGGTTGAGCACAGCAGCAGAGCCATGGGACTGCCCTAGGAAACCATTCTTTTCTCCTAGGCCCCAGGGCCTGTGACAGCAAGGGCTGCTGCAGACATCTCTAAAATGCTTTCAAGGCCGGTTTCCCACTGTCTTGGCGTTTTGCACTGGGTTCCTTTTTATACAAATAACCTAAGCCTTCTTGAATTTTCCCCCTCAAAATCGGCTTTTCTTTTTGACCACTTAGCCAGGCTCCACATTTTCCAAACTTTAGATCTCCACTTGAAGTTCCAACTTGAAGTCACTTCTTAGGTCACCCATAAGAACACAAGCTGTTCAATGTAGGCAGGACACCTCTTGTGCTATGCTGCCTAGATGTTCATTTCACCAGATACATCCTAAATCATCACCCCCAAGTTCATAGTTTCACAGATCTCCAGGGCAGGGTCCCCATGCAGCCAGCTTCTTTGCTAAGGCCAATCAAATGTAATCTTGTCTCTTGTTCATAGGAAATTCCTCATTTTCATCTGAGAACTTTTAGGTCTGGACTTCAGTGTTTACACTTTTGTCAGCCTTCCTATCACAAGTATTTAACAATTCTCTATAGTGGTCCAATATTTTCCTCATCTTGCTGTCTTCTAAGCTTTCCCAACTCTTCTGACCTCTGTCTTTTACCCACTTCTGAACCTGGTTCTACATTGTCAGCTATCTTTATCACAGCCTGGCAATGTGGTAAAACAGAAAAGTCCATTTTCAGGGGGAAAGTTCATGAAGGATTCAGATATTTGCATGAAAAGAAGCTGAGTGCTGGTTGCCAAGACAAAGGGGAAAGGGCCTTGAAGGCATTTCATGGCTCCACTTCATAGTACTAATTTTCTGCATGATCATAAAGAAAAGAGGTTTAATTGGCTCACGGTCCAGCAGGCTGTAAAGGAAGCACAGTGGCTTCTGCTTCTGGGAGGATCAGATCAGGAAGCCTTCCAATCATACCAGAAGGCCAAGGGGCAATGAGATGTTTCAAATGGCAGGGGTAGAAGAAAGACTGAGAGAGGAAAGAGGTGCCACCCCCTGTTATATAACCAGATCTCATGAGAACACACTATCATGAAGACAGCATCAAGAAGATGTTGCCTAACCATTGGTGAAGGATTTGCCTCCCACCCCCACCTCCCACTGTTTCCAGGCAGAAGCCTGCTGCAGATGAAGCTTTCTTGGGAAACCTCTACTAGGGCAGTGCAGAAGGAAAATATGGACTTGGAGCCCCCATGCAGGGGGCCACCACCCTCCAGACCCCAGATACATAGACCCACCAACAGCTTGCACCCTCCGTGTGGAAAAGCTACAGGCACTCAACACTAGTCCAGTCCATGAAAGCAGCCATTGGGGCTCAAACCTGCAAAGCCACAGGTGCGCTTCCCTAGTAGGGATTTTCCATGAGACTCTGCCTCTGCAGCAGGCTACTACCCCTTCCTACTACCCACCACCCTCCCACCACCGTACAGCCAGTCTACTCCCTCCCACCCTACCCACCCCTTTTTCCCTTCCACATCCACCCCCACCCATCCATGATTAAATCACTCCCTCCCTCTCCCTGTCATAATCTAATCCCTCCAAACCCTTCCAATCCTTGTTTGCTACCCACTACTGAGCCTGCTTCTACTTTTTCAGATATCTGTATAGCAGGTTGGCTATGTAGCAAGAACAAAAATCCCATTTAAGGGGAAACATTCAAGAAGATTTCAGAAATTTGCATATAAAGAAGCCCTGTGCTAATAGCCAAAACAAAGGGAAAAAGGCCTTGAAGGCATTTCACAGCTCCTCTCTGCAGTTCTACTTTTCTGTATTATTGTAAATAAAAGAGGTGTAATTGACTCATGGTTCTGCAAGCTGTGAAGGAAGTATAGTGTCTTCTGTTTCTGTGAGGAATCAGGAAGCCTCCTCATTATATCAGAAAGCCAAGGGACAATGAGATGTCTCCTAAAGCAGAAGCAGGAGGATGAGATCTGTTAAACAACCAGATCTCATGGGAACTCACTCATTATCAGGAGTATAGCATCAAGGTGATGGTTCTTTATCATTCGTGAAGTATCTACCTGCACCATTTTATGACTAAATCTTTTTCCACCTAGACCTTGCCTGTAACATTACAAAATATAATTCCACATGAGTTTTGGTAGGGACATAGACAAAAACCGTATTATTCTGTCCTTGACCCAATGAATCTCATGTCCTTCTCACATTGCAAAATACAAACATGCCTTGCCAGCAGTCTCCCAAATTCTTAACTCATTTCAGGATTAACTCAAAGTTACAAAGTCCAAAGTCTCATCTGGGTCAAGGCTACAGTCTCTTTTGCCTATGAGTCTCTGAAATAAAAAGCAGGCATTGTGTAAGCTTTCCATTTCCAAAAGGAAGACATTTTCCAGAAAGCTTCTTATTTCTCTCTGAGACCTCCTCAGCCTGGCCTTCACTGTCCATGTTTCTGTCAGGATTTTTGTCACAACCATTGAACCAGACTCTAAGATGGTCCAAAAGTTTTCTCATCTGTCTTCTTTTGAGCCCTCCAAACTCTTCCAACCTCCGTCCATTACCTGGTTCCAAAGCTGCTTCCACATTTCCAGGTATCTTTATAGCAACGCTCCAGTCCTCATTTGCCATTTCCCGTATGATTTATTTTGAAAAAGAGGTTTAATTGGCTCATGGTTCTAAGCACAGTGCTTCTGCTTCTAGGCCTCAGAAATCTTTCAATAATCATGGAAGGCAAAGAAAGAATCAATTGTCTCACATGGCAAGGGGAAAACACGGAGAGTGGGGAGGTGATATAGAGATTTCAGTGACTACATCTCATGAGAAGTTACTCATTATTGTGAGGATGGTACAAGGGGATGGTGCTGAACCATTCATGAGAAATTTGCCTTCATAATTCAATCACATTATACCAGGATCCACCTTCCACATTAGGAAATATAATTCAACATGAGATTCGGTGGGGACACATATTCAAATTGCATCATCAATCTTTGAATATAAAGACATCCACAGCAGGCTTTATCCAGCCAACTTCTTTGAGACTCTTTATAGAGTTTTAAGTCTAGAGCATATACACTAAAATATTCATACTTCGAAAAGCAATAAAGTGGTATTATCATTTTTCCAAAAGTTACAGCAGTAGTTTAGGCATTCATAGTATGATTTAGTTCACGATTGCTACTGTTTCTATTCTATCACCATATTAACTGTTTCCTATACAATTCTGTATTCAACTGGATTTCAGTTGAGCACAAAACCATCCTTGTACTAGCTCTTTGCTAGTGTTATTATTCTGCTGTAGAAAGTATCCTTGAACTGGAAACCGTCCACGATCGAGTATCGAGTCATTCAACACTATCAATTCCTGGGTGACTTTTTGAAAAAGTAGTATCTCTTGTTGCAAGAAATGCTGCATCTGTGAGTCCATGTCTCTCACTGGAATTGGATGGAAGTGGTGAATTTCAGCCAAAGTGGCCAAAGAAATCCTGTTCCTGTGATTCTGACGTCATCAGCCTCTGCACCTCTGTCTTCCCTTCTGCCACATGTTGCCTGCTCTCCATGACTTTGGTAAGAGCTTCCTTGTGTATGTGGATGATGTCCAGGATGTTGGTCTGGTGTCCCTGAGACAGCACTAACAGGTCCATGGCTAGGTCCAGGTCCTTCCTGGACTGACTGGCAAAGAGCTCACTGACAGAGTGGAAGGCATCTATACTGAAGTGGATGGCCTGGTCCAGCTCCAAGGCCTGGCTGAGGCTGAAGAACTGTCAGGCTTCTGATGCTCTTTCTCAAAGCCTGCCACCACTCATTGGCTGTGAAGTTGAGCTGAGTGCCCTGTTGTCCATCTTCTTGGTGAAGCACTTGAAGCCGTCAATCTTGCTCTCCCACGCCTAAAAGTTGAGTGTCACACTGGGGGTGGGCTCAGGGCCAGGAAGAATCTGGCACTCACCATCTCATCCTTCTCAGCCTTCCTCTTGCCCTGTCTCCAGGCTATCTCTTCAGTGCTGGTGGAGCACATCAGGAAGTGACAAACAATGTGGCACTGCACCTGCATCCAGAAGCTGGCTGTGTGGTTCATCTACAAGATTGGGCCCTTTCTGCACTTGAACATAGATCCACTTCACCATAGATGCCTTCCACACTGTCAGTGAGCTCTTTGCCCATCAGCCCAGGCAGGATCTGGACCCAGTCATGGACTTGTTAGTGCTGTCTCAGGGACACCAGGCCAACATTCTGGACATCATCCACGTACACAAGGAAGCTCTTACCAGAGTCCTCCTCAAGATGGCCTGTGGTCTGCCTCTTGGCACCCGAGAAGCCCACAGTGCTGTAGAAGCCCCGATGCTTGGACTGGAGCCCCAAAGGCGGCACACACCCCAGTTCTGAGCCTGCTGCTCATTTCCTCTATGTGGCTCCATTTGCAGCACATTTGTTGCACTGAGGCCTGTGCATGCCAGGCAAAGCCAAGCTGGCTCAAAGAGCAACCACCCACCTCTGCAATGGTGTGCCAGGAGCCAGTGGACCAGCCACCAACGTCACTCCCTGCCAGTCAGGGTAAATCAGTTATTCTGCCCTGGAAGTGGAGCCCCAGTGCCATCTGCTTTTCCTCAGGCCTCCGCTCCATCAGCTGTCAGGTTGTGGTCACTCAGACTGTGGGAATCTGGCCATCCCTGTTTCCTTGAGTGGGTGAGGTTGGTGACTGCTCCACCTGCTCCTGGCACACCCTTGCAGAGGTGGCTGGTTGCTCTTTGAGCCAGCTTGGCCTTGCCTGGAATGCACAGGCCCCAGGTACTGAGAAGCTGCTCCGAGTAAGTTTGTCTTGGGCCAAATTCTAAGTCTGGCCAGGGCCACAGAAGGCCGAGTCCCCTGGGTGGTAATCCTGGCTGCTGCAGGGGGGCCCATGGTACCCCTCCCCTCCCAGGGCTCAGGATGAGGTCCGACTGGGACAGGATGCTTTAGGTATGGGACTTGTGCCCCAGGAGGGGACCTCTGTCACACAGGTTGGGTGAGAAGATATATGGCATGCTGCTGGCTGCCAGGGCTGTTGGGATGCACGTTCACCCTTCCCTTCAGAGACCTCAAAGTGACCAGCTTTCCCTTTATGAATGACTTGCAAGGCCCAGGAGCCATTTGGGGCTGCAGAGCAGCTGGCTGCATGCTGCCCTGGCTTCTTCCATGTTGTGCTGGTCACTACCTACCAAGGGGGGTCAGATGCAGGCACAATGTAGGACGATTGTCTCTGGACCTGTGTCTTGGTTATCATGGAGCTAGACTGGGCCTGGTGACAGGGCCCTGATGGGGTTGTCCTGTGTGGTCACGGAGGTGATCAGAAAAGATGCAGAATGGAATTGCTGCGAGGATGAATGAGATGACTGTCAGCACATAACAGGCAGCTGGTGAGTGTTCAGGGATTACCCTCAGTAGCTGCCCAGAGGCCAAAACCACCCACCTGATAGTGACTTTTCCCAAGCCAGGAGGAAGAGAAAAGAGCAGGTCCCACTCACCTGAATCTGATCAGTGAGCTGTGTTGAGATGTGCCTCTCATCTAGAAAATGGTCCTTCACGCAGAGCTACTCACAGACACTGCTGTGTGTCTCTAACTGCTCCACAACACAGAGGCGATGGGGACTCAGCAACAGTGACATTGTGGGGTGACACAACCCACCACCATGGGAGTCTGCTTGGGTCAACAGGGCCCAGAGTCAGTGTCCTCTATCCCCTGAACTGACATGTGTGTATGCAATGTATTTGTGTATGCATGTGTGCCTGTGTGTGTGTGTGTATGTGTGTGTTTGTCTTGCTTCTCTGGACAGGCTTGGCTTCTCCACTCATGGGTGCACCCAGGTCCTCATCACTGTCACCTTAGAGCATTAGAGCCTCTATAGGTGCTCCCCAATCTCTGCCCTCCCCACCCATGGTGGTACTGGGGATGCAGACAGAGGAGGGGCACTGCATAATGCTGAGAGGGCTGGCACACTCTCTAGGTGGAACACAGGTCATTTGTAAAGTTGTAGGTCTGCCAAGCAGTATTGGATTCAACACATCTTCTCACCTTCTCTTTCCAGCGACCCTCCAGGGTGCCCCGACTCACTTTCCCTGCAGATGGAGGCAAGGAGGCTCCACAGACAACCTCCCTGCCTGAGGTCAGATAGTGGCCAGCAGGCCAGGTACTGACAAACTGCCCCTGACCAGGTTCCCAGTGATGAGTGATGAGACCCCTAATGACCACTCCTCCATTGACCAAGTCCCACTGATCAAGTCCCCACTGACCATGTCTTCCTAACCAGGCCCACACTTAATAGGCCTCATGGGCCAGACCCCACTGACCAATTTTCCACTGACCTGGTCCCCATTGACAAGACAGGGTTCCCACTGACAAGACCACAATTTACCAGGTTGCTGCTCAACCGACCCCCCACTGAACAATTCTCCATGAACGAGTACCCAGCTGACTGAGCCCCCTCTGACCAGGCCCTCACTGACCAGGCCCCAAGCCACTAAGGCCCCACACTGACCAGGCCCGTGATATATTGTGTATGCCCCACCAACCAGTTTTTCATTGTTTATGTTCCAACAGATCAGGCCCCAGTAATAAAGCCACCACTGACTAGGTCCCCCCACTGACCAGGCTTCCAATGACTAGGTCACCAGGTCCCCACTGAGGAGGCTGCCACTAACCAGGCCCCTGCTGATCAGGTCCCAAATGACCAGGTCCTGATGACCAGGTCATCTCTGACCATGGTCCACTGACCAGGCCCCAGAGCAACGGGGTTCAAAGTCTCATTACAATGTCCCCCTCAGCTCATAGACCCTCCCTCCCTGCATGTGTGCCCGGAGGTCAGGCCCTGGGTTTTTTTTTTGGGACGTGGCCTTTCCTCCAAGACACAGGGAGAGACAGTTGGCCTCAGGCTCCAAGTTCCCAGCTCCACACTCACCCCAAAGGCCCTCTGGGCCCGTCTCAAAGGAGAAAGTGAGGTGGCCTGACACTGCCTGGACACACCATCTACCCTATTCCTGAGTGTCAGAGTGTGAGGAAGGGAGGGACATTTGGCAGATAAGGCACGCTGTGCTGTTGGGTCTCTCAGGGCCCTTCCCACAGAGCCCCGATCTAAAGACACAACACAGAGGCTACAGGAAGACTAATCCAGAACCTCTGAGACAGCCAGGGACCACATGAGTACTCTCCCCAGACAGCCAGAAGTCCCTTTGCTAGTTTCTTGGTACTTCAGTGGATGTGGCAGTGGTTCTTCTGTTGGGGACCAGTGAGTACACACTGGGGAGGGCTCACCTGTGTTTCCTCAGTGGCTCCACCTCTGCTTCTAAAAAAAATGACTCATTCCAGAGCTGGTGCAGAGAAAATACAAGCTGAGCTTAGAACATCTTCTGAAAGAAAGTAAAAAAGTGCCGACAGAGTAATGGAGACAAATCAAAGAGACATAAAGTCAGCTTGGAATGTCTACTACTGGCCTAATCTTGGGGAATTGGAGCATCAGAATCATGAGCTTTCTTTCTCCCTTATTTATTGGTTTTATTTCTCCATGTAGAACAAAGAAGAGAATAAGAAAATAATCATCTGGTAACCATCATAGTAATAATTGTTCAAACACAAGTCATCCATGAAATGCTAAATCTAGTGGGTTCTGAGGAGTAACCAGATATTTACAGAGCCTCAAAGTATCTCCATACAAAATACGGTTGAACTACAAAAAGAAAATTGTAACATTAGCATGGACAAACCTGGCAGGTACTCCTTAACTCTCCTAAGTAATAAAAACTGTAAAATGCAAATAAGCCTTCGATGACATTTACTAACCTTTACTAAAGTATCAATGATGACTTGGTTGTTTAAACAGCTGAAATTTGGGCAATTTGAGTATGTCAAACTCAATAATACTGGTTTTCATTTGCAAGATCCACTTAAAACTTAAGGAGGCCAAAAAACATCATTTAAAATATCCTATAAATTATAATCATACATATGATACAAAAATATCCTACTTCAGTAAATATTGGAATGTTATATATTTTATGAGAAACAATTAAAATGTGTAAATAGCCCAGTAATAAAGTTTTATAATCTTTTAAATCATCATAGAATTTTTCCTTAAGACTTTATGGTTAAATATTCTCTTCATTAGATGTGGCTTACCCGTGGATTCTAGAGAAGAAAGTAGATGGGAGCAAGTGTCCAATACAGCAACAGCTGGAAAGAAAAATAAAGAATTTTGTTCTTTACCTAAAACACTTCAGTTAACTAAGAGTGAGTTTAAAAACTAAAGACTTGAGAACTTTATCAGAGTTAATAAGAATGAGAAATATGTATGTACATTTACAATACAAAATTACTATTTAATAATTTACACATGGCATTAATTCTAATTGTGTTTAAATATCAGAGCTTTTTCAGTCTTCATTCATGTAATCAACAGCCACATGCTAAGGTACTAGAACCAGCACTGGAATTACAAGATGAAGATGGCATGGTCCACCTCTCAACAGTCATAAGCTATAACCTAAAAAACAGACAGGCAGGCAATGTCCATATAGAGTCATAGATACCATGACAGGTATACAGCAGGGCACTACTGGAACACAGAGAAGGGACATCTACCCACTTTTATGTCAATATCATGGGCTTTCTGGTGGAGGAGATAACATAGGTTGATACCTGAAGGACAAGAAAAAGCTTCCCAGATAGAGGAAAGAGGCAAAGGCAAAGAGCCTGAGGTGAGGAAGAGCCCTGCAGAGTTCCACTCCATCCAGTTTGGTGCTAGAGCAAAGGGCAGAGTGCAGTAAGTGGTGAGAAACAAGGCTGAGTAACTTGGCAAGAATTACATTGACATGGGTGTTTTTATTTCATGGTGAAAAATTTGGAACTTTTCCTGAGAACAAGTGTAAGCCAATGACACAGTAAATTAGAGGAGATTTAAAATGTCACCTGTCAAGTGACTGCTTATGAAGGGTTATTGCTCAGCTAAGTATTTCTGAATGAGTCTTAGGTCTGTTGGCCTTCAATCTCTACCGAAACCCTGAGAACTTGATGATGCTTTTGTTTTCTGAGAATCGTTTCAGTGTGCTGGCTGACAGTTCCATGAGGATGGCAAAACTTAAGAAAGTGTAGAACCAGTGAAGAAGAGATGCACAGACTTCTTGGGAACTGTTTAAGCTTTGGAACATGATGAATTTATGGTGCATAAGTGCAGTCTTCTCTGTGAAAGTTTTTGTTTTCACATCTTTCATTAGATGTGTGTAAGAAAAAATATTGATGTAGTATCTACTAACCCAAGAATGAAAAGGAATGCCATTTGCTATTTACACTTTATTTCTAAAATAAACCTAAATTTAATTAATAAATTTTGTCAACGTACTTCTCTTTGTTTCTCTAATTATTTATTCTACACAGTCCAGCCCCATCTAAAATAAGTAAAAATAATAATAATGTCTAAATTAAACAAGAAACATTATCATGAAAATCATGTATCACTTACAAAATGTGGCCTTTAGTATTTTTAGTGACTAGACATTACTTGAAGTTTGCTTAAATAGAAAAATAATCACATAAATAAAATAAAATTTCTACTTATTTTAAGTTTAGATAACAGAGGATGTATATGTGTAATGCTGTTTAGAGTAATCTGACAAAAATGCAGTTAATATTGATCTATTGCATATACATGATTTTAGAAAGGTAGTGTTTTATTAGTACAAAGGTTAAACAATGGCCAGGCATGGTGGCTCATACCTGTAATCCCAGCACTTGGGGAGGCCAAAGCAAGCAGATCACAAGGTCAGGAGATCGTGACCATCCTGGCCAACATGGGGAAACCCCATCTCTACTAAAAATACAAAAATTAGCTGGGCGTGGTGATGTGCACCTGTAGTCCCAGCTACTTGGGATACTAAGGCAGGAGAATTGCTTGAAGCCAGGAGGTGGAGGTTGCAGTGAGCCAAGACTGCACCGCTGCACTCCAGCCTGGTGACAGAGTGAGACCCTGTCTCACAAAAAAAAAAAAAAAAAAAAGATTAAGTAATTAAAGCCATCTTTTGCAATGAATGCATTGCTTTGAAATTCTTAGAAAACTCTGCCCTTTATAAAAATTTAATCCATTTTTTACTTCAATAAATTTTATCTTAAAAAGAAATTTCTGTTCTCTACTTATAGGAAACTTTTCTTTTTTTTTCTAGTTTGTATTCTAAATTAACGTGGTACCTCTGTAAATTTCTTCCAAAGGCATATTGAGGGATACCGAGGTTTGCAGTACAATTAAACCCATCACACAGTTTGTGAGCATAGGACCCAAGAAGTAGTTTTTCAACCCTGGCCCACTCTGTCCCTCCCCGTTCTTATTTCCCAGTGTCTATTATTCCCACCTTTATGACAATGTGCACCCAATATGTAGCTCCCACATGAGTGAAAACATGACATATTTGGTTTCTGTTTCTGCGTTGGTTTGCTTAGGAGAGTGGATTCCAGCTGTATTCATGTTGCTGCAAATGATGTGATTTTGTTCTTTTCATGGCTGCATAGTATTCCATGGTATATATGGAATTTTCCAATCTACCTTGGATTTTCAATCTACCTTGGATGTACCTGGATTGACTCCACGTCTTTGCTATTGTGAATAGTGCTGCAATGAACATACATGTGTATACATCTTTTTGTTACAATGATTTATTGTCCTTTCGATATACCCCTAGTATAGTAATGGGGTTGCTGCATCCAACAGTCATTCTTAGTTCTTAATTTCCAAACTGCTCTCCATAGTAGCTGAATTAATTTACATTGCCACAAACGGTTTGTGTTCCCTTTTCTCCACAGCCTCCCCAACATCCTTTTTTAAGTTTTTATTTATTATTTGTTTTTAACAAAAGTCATTGTGACTGATGTGAAATGGTATTTAATTGATGTTTTGTTTGGCATTTTTCTGATGATTAGCAATGGTAAGCATTTTTTAATGTTTGTTGGCCACTTATGTGTGTTATTTTGAGAACTGTCTGTTCATGTCCTTTGCCCATTTTTAATGGTCTTATTTATTTTTTGCTTGTTGATTTGTTTAGGTCTCTTATGGATTCTGGATAATAGGCGTTTGCTATATCCATACTTTGTGAATATTTTCTTCCATTCCTTATGCTGTCTGTTTAATCCCGTGATAGTTTCTCATGCTGTGCAGAAGCTATTTAGCTAAATTAGATCACACTTGTCAATTTTTGTTATTCTTGCAATTGCTTTTGAGGACTTAGCCATAAATTAATTGACAAATATGATATCTAGAAGAGTATTTCCTAGGTTTTTTCCAGGATTTTTATAGTCAGAAGATGTACTCTTATGTAAGGAAAGCACAAACCTTTTTTTTTGTTTTGTTTTGAGACAGAGTCTCCATCACCAAGGCTATAGTGCAGTGGTATGATCTTGGCTTACTGCAACCTCTGTCTCCTGGGTTCAAGTGATTCTCCTGCCTCAGCCTCCTGAGTATCTGAGATTACACATGCCTGCCAACACGCCTTGCTAATTTTTGTATTTTTACTAGAGACAGGTTTCATCATTTTGGCCAGGCTGGTCTCAAACTCCTGACGTCAGGTGATTCACCTGCCTCGGCCTCCCCAAATTTTGGGATTACAAGTGTGAACCACCATGCCTGGCCAACCACAAAGCTTTTAACATAAAAAGGGAAATGAACATTTTAGTGTTTTGTTTAATTCATAAAATGCAATTATTTTGGATTCTACTAAATAATAAACATCCATATGTGGCAAAGTGTTTGGATGCTAATCATTCAGTTGTGATTATGGGTGGGAAGAATTGAGATGGTGCAAATAAACTTTTTTAATTTTTTTTTATTTTCAAGATGGAGTCTTGCCCTGTCACCCAGGCTGGAGTGCAGTGGTGCAATCTCAGCTGCTGCAACCTCCGTCTCCCAGGTTCAAGCAATTCTCTGCCTCAGCCTTCCTAGTAGCTGGGATTACAGGTGCCCACCACCACACCAGGCTAATATATTTTTTTGTACTTTTAGTAGAGTTGGGGTTTCACCATCTTGGCCAGGCTGGTCTTGAACTCCTGACCTCGTGATACACCTGCCTCAGCCTCCCAAAGTGCTGGGATTACAGGCATGAGCCACCACACCTGGCTGGTGCAAAGAAACTTTAAAAGTGGCATGGGCTGGGTGCGGTGGCTCATGCCTGTAATCCCAGCACTTTGAGAGGCTCAGGCAGGCAGATCACAAGGTCAGGAGTTCAAGAAGAGCCTGGCCAATATGGTGAAACCCTGTCTCTACTAAAAATGCAAACATTAGCTGGGTGTAATGGTGGGTGCTTTTAGTCTCAGCTACTCAGGAGGCTGAGGCAGGAGAATCACTTGAACCCGGGAGGTGGAGGTTGCAGTGAGTGGAGATGGCACCAAGACACTCCAGCCTGGGTGACTGAGTGAGACACTGCCTCAAAAAAAAAGAAAAAAAAATGTGGTATGAACCACAGCTAAACTACAATCAATTAGAGAGTAAGCCAGAGCATCTCAAAGTATATCATCAGTTATCAGGCAATAACATGCAATTTCTAAAACCTAACTTAAATGCAGCTTTTAAAGACATTTCAATCATGTCAGTTTAGTCACATTTATTGAATAAAGTTAGCAAATGGATATCTCTTGAAAATGAGAGCTCCAGGGAATTAAAAAATGTAAAGTTCCCATTTCCTTTCTGTGTTAACACAGCTAATTATGATCTTTACTTCACATGCAAAAGTCAACAGAACAACTCAGTATTTCACCAAATTATAAACAAGAATTACGCTAGAGAAATGAAACCCTAAAGAGAAACGGTCATATAACTAACCTCAGTCAAGTAGTTCTGGCAGTTATTTGAAGTCTGAGGTTTGAAGTAGGAATTCTTACGGGCATTTGGGGAATATATTTTCTGTTGAGTCCTATACTAGTAAGATTTTCAACACAAGGTGACTCTCGACCTCACCTTGTAGGAAGAGTGCTGAGAAAATATTTCACCTGCTCTTTCTCCATAAAGAGCTGATACTGATCATTGCTATTTTCTTATTCGATCTGTAAAGGTAGCAAAGACAAATGCTTAATATTTCATTTTTCCTTAAATGATTCTTAATGACTTGCAGTTTTTAAAAACTTACCCTGAGAGTAAACCAAATTACCCACTAAATAGTGTTTTCACACAGAAGATGTGTAAGAGCATACCTGTTGTAAGGAATTATAATTTTAAAATCATTCTAAAGAAGCACCATTGTTTCTAAGGTGATTTCTACTGAACAAGCAGTTCAAACAAAGTAGACAGGGAAGAGAAATGGCTATCAGTGATGTATGGCTCAACAGGTAAAACTTCCTGCCTTCTAAAATGGCTCTACTTGGAAGATTCTGAAGATTCCATTAGAAATACTTGTATTTAAAGGGTAATAATGTGGGAAAATGAATATGTTGATTTGCTTGATTATAAGAACCACTTCACTAGAAATAATTATATCAAAACATCATGTTGTACTCCTTAATGTAGGTTAAGAAAACTAAAATGAAAGAAAAAAAATCTAGGAACACTTGTGTTTAGTAAACCAGTTTTAGATTTCACTCTTGTACACACCCATTATCTAGGACCAATTAAACATTTGGCACTGAGGAATAATTCAGAGCAACAACTCCTAGGGGAGAACTAGATTGTCTGGTTGGTGATCAAAAAGAACTAAAGCATCTCTGAAGGCAATTAGTCCCCAACACTGTGACCAAGGCCCTGGAGGTGGGGCATGTTCTTTCTGCCTTCCACACACCGCTTCAGGCTGAACAAGGTGTTATTTTTTAACCGCTTTGTGAATTACACTTCTTTAAATTCCTGTGATAATTATTCCCTATTTCACAAGGGTGCCTTTCTGTAACATCTTGAATATGTTACACAAATAGTCTTTCTTGAGGCACCCTCTGGTGATAATACTAAAGATCACAATCAAAAACAATTGTGCCCAGAGTAGCAGTACCACTTTGCATTTAGGTTGTGATCCACTGAAAAGTAAATTAAACACATTAATATTTCTATTTAGGGAAATTCTGACAAGTAATTTTATAACAAGATCACTTCATTAATTATAAAGCTTCAAAAATACTTAGTGAAAAAAACTAACAGATCAGGTTAATTATATGAGACTTTTCAGGAAAAAAAGCCATACAAAAGCAAAAAAAAAAATGAGAGGAGAGACAAAAACTATCTTTGACTAACATTTTAAAGGTAAAATTATTTACTCACGTTATTTTTCAAAATTACATTGTCAAATTAGCATTCACTTCCTTCTAATCTCCTGAAGCCATCTCACTAAAAATTATGCTTTTGAAACAAATTAATGAGCTTAATTCATTTTCTATGAGTGTATGTTTTGACTTACTTAGTTAATTTTTTTGACATGGAACTGTTAGCTTTCAATGCTGCTGCAAAGGCTTCCTTATATTCTTCTAACTCAGTTGTAACCTCTTCATAAGCAGTTTTCATTTTGTAGAATTTACAATCCACATCTTTAAGTGTGAGTTCCTTCTTATTTAGTGAAGCTGTATGATATCCTTGTTTAACTGCTCTAATTGTTTTTTATATTGTGCTTGTTCCTAAAACAGAGGAAAAGAATACACTTTTAAAACAATTATAACCTAATTATTATGTTTGTTGCCTTTCATTTTGAGTCAGCGATTCAAAGAGTATTTTTGAATATGTTAAAAAAGAGGATGAAGTTTAAAATATTTCAGCAATATCAAAACTAATAACTGAATTCAGAATTAAGTCTGATTTGTAAAAATTTGAAATCATAATTATGCTAGTATTAATGTAATCTGGTCATATAAAAAGTAATAGAATCCATTCATAGTTTTAAAAAGTGATCAATGAACACTGTAGCTTAAGACCAATTCATAATTATCACATAATTTCTAAAACACAATTTTTTCCTATGCCAACTGGTCTTAATCATCAAATGACTCCATAATGAGAATCATTACTCTGAAAGATTGATTTTGTTATAATAATAATGGAAATTTAAATATTTAAAAGAAAAAACAGATACCATTTTTTTCTAGAACTCTACAAAGCAGATTGCTACAAGAGAGGCAATCTCTTTATATATATATATATCTCCAAAATATAATTTGCAGTGAAATAAATGAAAGCACATTACAAGTAAACTTACCTGATTTAAACAACTCACCTGTAAATGGATTTCTTCTAATTTTTCTACTGCCTGCATTGCCCTTTCATCTAGCTCTGATTTATATTCTTGTAGTTTACTAAGTTCTACCATACTGTTTTCCATATGTGTCTTAAGATTTAATATTTCTTCTTCCAACATCTTTTTATCTTCCTCAAGTTTTTCACATTCCTGTTGTACTTTTTTCATAGATAATAACTCCTGTTGAAAAACTTGATTCTCTTTAGCCAAATTGACACATTTTGAAGATACAGCTTCCTTCTCCGCCATAAGATCATCAAACTGCAAGAATAAAATAGTATAACTTGATAATGAAGTAGGCTGAGAATAATCTAATACAAAACCAATAGCAAATTTTGAAATGCATTTACTTGCAATAAAATGTTATCTGTAATGCAGCAGATTCTTCAAATGTGAACCCTTAAATTACTCAGAATTTTAAGAACAAAGTTAAAGCTACCATGAGTCATAAAAATATATTCTTTACTATCATCATCTTTGCCACAGAATTTTTGTACTTAATTTTACTTTTATTTTTCTGATAATTCATTTTTGTTCCTCCTTAAATGGCACAAAGTTATCTCCTAGTAAAAAGTGTCTAACCCCCTTCCTTCATTATCATTCCCCACAGTATGTCAAAAAAAGTTTCAGAGATATCATATTGAGTTATTTAGGCCAAAGTCAATAAATGGGTCTAGGAATAAGACTTTGAAAGTGATATTACACTCTATATTAGGCATGGTGGCTCATGCCTGTAATCCTAGCACTTTAAAAAGCTGTGGCAGAAAGATCACTTGAGGCCAGGAATTTAAGATCAGCCAGAGCAACATAGTGAGACCCCCATCTCTACAAAAAAAAATTTTTTTTAATTACCCGGGCATGGTGGTTCATGCCTGTAGACCCAGCTAGTTGGGATACTGAGGCAAAAGGATGGCTTGTACCCAGAGTTCAGGGCTGCAGTGAATTATTATCACTGCACTTCTGCCTGGATAACAGACAAAGACCCTATATCAAAAAACAACACAAAATAATGAAATCTATGATTAAGGATTCTGATGCTATAAGCCTTTCCTTAAACTGCAAATGTTTCATGCTAATTTGAATTGCATTTTAAGAAGTAATGATTCTTGGGGTAAAGACCATAGAATACAGCACCCAGAAATAAATTCACATATTTCCAGCCAACTGATTTTGGACGAACATTCCAAGAACATACGCTGGGGAAAGGACAGCCTCTTCAAATGAATGACACTGGGAAAACTAAATATCCATATGGAGAAGAATGATATTAGCTTCCTATGTAACACCATATAACAACATAAACTCAGAATCGATTGAAGACTGAAATGTAAGGCCCAAAATTATCAAACTACTCTAAGTAAATATAAGGAAAATGCTTGAGGACATTAGTCTGCACAAAGATTTTTATGGGTAAGACATCAGAAGCATAGGCAAACAACAAATCATAGACAAAAGACACTACATTAAGCTAAAGAGCTTCTGTCCAGCAAACAACTGAGTGAAGAGAAAACCTGTAGAATAGGAGAAAATATTGTCAAGCTATTCACCTAATGAGGGACTAATATACAAAATATACAAAAAAACTCAAACAACTTCACAGTAAAAAAAATCTGAGTTTAAAATTGGGCAAAATATCTAACTATACTTTTTTTTAGAAAAAGAAATACAAATAGCCGATAAATAAATTTTAAAATGCTCAGTATCACTAATCCTCAGGGAAATACAAATCAAATCTACAATGTGATATAATCTTGCTTCAATTTGAATAAATTGCTGTCATTGAAAAGACAAAAAAAATAGCAAATGCTGGTGAGGCTCCAGAGAACAGTAAACTCTTACATGCTGTTGGTGGGAAGGTAAATTAGTGCAGCCACTATAGAGAACAACAGGAGGTTTTCTCAAAAAAACTAATAATGGGACTGCCGAGGGATCCAGCAACCCCACTACCGGGTATTCAGGCAATAGAAAAGAAAACAATAGATCAAAAGGATATCTGTCCTCATATGTTTACTGTAGCACTATCCACAACAGCTTGTGTATGGAATCAACCTACATGTCCATCACCAAATGAATGGACGAAAAACTGTGGCACACAAACACAGTGGAATACTATTCACCATATAAAGGAATTAAATCCTGTTATTCGTGGCCACGTGGATCAGTCTGACGGATGTTATGTTAAGTGCAGACACAGAAAGATAAATACTGCACATTCTTACTCATGTGTGGGAGCTAAAGGAAAATTGAAGGCTGGGCAATATGGCTGATGCCTGTAACTTCCTCGCTCTTTGTAAGACCAAAGCAAGAGAATCATTTGAGGCCAAAAGTTCCAGAGCTCCCTGGGCAACATAGGGAGATATCTCTACAAAGTCAAAAATCAGACATGTGCAATGGTGTATGCCCATAATGCCAGCTGCTCAGGAGGCTGAGGTGTGAGGATCAGATGGGCCCAAGAGTTTGAAGCTGCAGTGAACTATGATCAAACCACTGTCTCCAGTCTGGGTGACTACAGTTGCCCAGAGCCCAGACTACACTAGCAAGACCCTGTCTCTTAACAAAAAAAAGCTCACAGAAGTAGGGGAGAGGAGGCTGGTTAATGGATACAGAATTACAGTTAGATAAGAGGAGTGAGTTCTGGTGTTCTGTGGCATTGTAGGGTGAATATGGTTAACTATGACTTATTGTATATTTTTAAAAAGCCAGAAAATTTTGAATGTTCACAATTCAAAGAAATGAAAAATGGTTGAAGTAGTAAATGTGCTAGTTAGCTTGATCATTACACACTATATACGTGTATAAAAATATCACTCTATAGCCCATAATTATGTATATATGTGTCAATTAAAACAAAAGAGAAGCTACATTCATCCCATTTAAAAAACAGAATATGGGCCAGCCTTACTGACTTCCTTCTAATGAGTAGAATGTAGTGAAAGGGATACCATGTGGCTTCCCTATCTCAGACTGTTTTCCCTTGGAACCCAGCCCCAATTGTGAGAGCCATCAGGCCACAAACAGAGCCTGAAAGTGCCTGTGTCAGTGTTCATGCTGCCTGTCCCAACCAAGTTTACAGCCGATGGCCAGCATCAACCATCAAACAAGTGGGTGACCAAAGCTTCAGAGGATTCCATTTCCCCAACTGATCAGCTGTTCCTAGGGAAGCTGAAGGGAGCAGAGCAAGCTGTCCTGGCCAAGTTTTTCCCAAACCACAGGTTCATGAACAAAATAAATGTTTTTCTTTCAAGCCACAAGACTCTGGGTAATTGTTAGGAAAATAAGTTTTAAAAAGAGACAACAGGAAACATAACTTATGCAGCAGAAAAGAGTCTCCTTTAAAGCAGGATCTAATAAAGGTTGATATTTATTTATTGATGTCAAACATTATTGAGAAGCAGTAGATAACCAGGAGAGAGACATAAGCTGCTGAGGAGGAATTTTCCTAAAACAACTTCAATTATGAACTCTGATAACAAGGCAAGGGTGTCTTCTTACAATTTCCCCTCAAGTTAGGAAGTAAGACTGGGAAGCAAGAAGATGTATGATTTGAAAAACAACTAGAAATACTGGGTGACATAGGCAAAATCAGACATTTACCTGATTTCAATTAACTAAAATTCTAAAAGAAGAAGTTTTGAGTATTTATTAATCAACCTAGTATTCAATTTTCATTTTCTTTTCTAAATGAGGAAATAAGGAGAATATTATGGAATGATTTTTATTCTTCACAGAAGTAAAATAAGCATAGTGTGTTTTGAGTGTTAAGACACAAATGCAACTTCTCCTTTACCTTACTCCAAGCTTGTTTGTATGGAGAAGTTAAGACCATCCCATTTCTATGTTATGCCACAATGCTTCTCTATAGCACACAACTTGGCTCTGAAATTTTGAAAGTCAAAATACTAATCTACTATGTGTCTCTGATAAATTGCCTGAACGTTACCTGATTTTGAAGTGCTGCACTCCTAAGACTTTTTCTTGGAATGAGTTAAACGTTTTATTCCAAGAATCCTCTACTGAGCTAGAAAGCAGAGCTGTGCATCTCTGTTTCAGTAAAAGGAGGTCAATATAGGGAACTGTGGTTTCTGAGAATGCAAGATCTGCACTAATAAAAGGATTAGCCACAGTGCTACCCAAGAGAACCAGCTACCAGGAGGAAAGAGGGTCTGTAAACTGCAAGATGATGACTTCACTTGATTTCCACTGAGGAAAGCTGGTGGCTCAGACTTAAACTTCTCCTTCCTAGATGGTAAACATCTATGGAAGGTTCTATGAATTATAATGAGTTAGTAAAACATAATGCACTGAATATTAGACTATGTCAGCAGATCCTGTAACCAAAACTTTCTGAAAATATAACTATAGTGGGAGGCAATGGAAAAGAGACTAAAGGCTTGAATGGAGAAAAAAAGAAATTAAGTGTGTCTTGTAAGCCTGGCGTCTGATCATGTCTTAGAGGAAGTAAGGTATAAGCTGGCCAGAGACTCCTTTGTGACACAAAAGGTGAAGTTACAGACATTCCACTAAATTTAATTTTTATTATGACATAAGACAACTGGTAATATGCAACATGATTGAAAAAAACTTCTCATTCAATTCGATTGGGCCTTGACATAAGAATAGACATAAACAAGCTAAGAATTGACAATCTAAAAATAAGCCTGCACTTTTACAGTCAATTGATTTTATACAAGCTTAACAAAAGAACAAAATGGGAAAAGAATAGTCTTTTCAACAAATGGTGCTGGGACAACTGGGTATCCATAAGCAAAAAATAAATAAAGTTCGACCAAATATCATATTTAATAATTAACTCAAAATAAAACAGTTAACTGTAAAAGCTAAAACTATAAAACCCTCAGAAGAAAACACTGGCATAAATCTTTGTGACTGCATTTGCCAGTGTTTTCTTAGCTATGACTCCAAAGGAAAAATGGATTCAATGGACTTCAAAATTGAAAACTGCTGTGCCTCAGAAGACAGCATGAAGAAGTGAAAAGGTAAGACGCCAAGTAGAAGAAAGTATTTGAAAAGCGTGTATCTGATAAGGGACTTACATATATAGGAAATATAAATAACTCTTGCAATTAATAAATAACAAGATAAGCCAATTTTAAAAAATGGGCAAGGATTTTGAATAGATATATCTGCAAAGAAGATATAAAGATGGATAAGCACATTAATAGATGCTTAATGTAATTAGTCATTAGGAAAATGTAAATCAAAACCACATGTGGTATCACTTCACACCACAGGATAAAATCTTTGTTCAAGAAAAAAGAGTGTTAGGAAAAATGTAAAGAAATTAAAACCCTTATCTAATGCTGCTGGGAATGTAAAGTGATGCAGCCACTTTGGAAAACAAACTGGCAGCTCCTTAAAGGGTTAAGCATGAAGTTACCATATGACACAGAAATTCCAGTCATAAGTATATACTCCAGAAAAATAAAAACATACGCAAGCACAAAAACTCATACATAAATGTTTACAGCAGCATTATTAATAGTAGTCAAAAGGTGGAAAGAACCAGAACGTCTGTCACCTTTGGCTGGGAGAGAACCCAAAGGTCCATCACCTGGCGAATGGATAAATAAAATGTTTGATGTATCCATACAATGGAATATTACTCAGCAATAAGAAGAAATTAAGTACAGATACCGTATTAGGAGGAGACAGCAAAATGCCTATGCAGATACGGAAGGGTCCCCGGAGAATCTCCAACGAGCCCCACAAGTGTTTACACCAGATGTTATGTGCAGATAAGGGAACCTGGACTTGTCTTGCCTGGACATGCCCACAGCAGACTGGAGGCCCACATGCAGTGGGGGGATGGGGTGGAGTCACCAGGAATTCACACCTTATGCAGAGGAGGAGCCTGGCCGCTTCAGCTCATGTGCTCCTGGTATTCAATTGTGAGGTGGAAACCTCTTTGCAGGACCCCTCTCTTTGCTGAGAGCTGTGCTTTCACATAATAAATTCTGCCCTCCTCAATGTGTCTGCATGCTTAATTTTTCCTGGTCACGAGAGAAGAACACAGATGTAGCTGAACTAAGGAGCAAAAACCCAGCATCAATACCTGCTACAGCACAGATGCAGCATGAAAAATTATGCTAAGTGAAATAAGCCAGTCCCAGCAGACCACTTGCTTTTTATTTCAGAGGCTTATAGGCAAATCTATACAAAGAAGGTGGGTGGTTCCCTAGGGCTGAGGGAGGAAGGGAAAACTAGTGAAGATGGCTAAATGATGTGGGGTTTGTTTTTAGGGTGATGAAAATGTTCTAAAATTAATTGTAATGATGACGGCATAACTCTCTGAAAATACTAAAGTTAATGAATTCTATACTTTAAATGAGTGAATTGCATGGCGTGTTCATTATTTCTCAATAAACCTGTTACCCCCCACCCCAAATTAATTTGGTACTAGAGATCTGCAGATAGGTACTGCTTGGTTTCAAATCACTGGCCAGGGTTCAAGGTCTAAGAGAATCAACAACATGTCCTTTTTATAGAAAAAGAGATTTATATTTTACAAGCTATCCTTTTCATTAGTATCAAGTCTGTAAAATTCAATGAAAAATCTTTCTTTCGCTGCTTAAAGCACTGACAGATTTATATAGAGGAATAAGACCTTGTTTTCCTTGGCCCCAATTTCTATCTAAAGGGTCTGGGAAACACACCCTTCAAACTATCAAATCTCATCAGATGGGTTTTATTAACACTTATAATATGGCTTCCTTTCTAATCTGATTCTGGTGCAGCATCACAGAGAGAAGAAGCTGAAGGAAATCAAAATATTTTACCCACAAATATATTTTTTGACGTATTTTGAAATGGCTGCTGCAGGGCCAAGAGATTGAAATGGCCCTCATTAAGGTAGCCCAATCTCCCCTTCTAGGTCTTTCCAGATCTGGGGAAGATTAACTAAGAGCCTGAGGCATTTAAAGTTTGAAAAGATATATTTACCCTCTATTTTCTCAACATATTTTGGCAGAATTTGGATTTTTCCATTATCAATATTTTCCAAAATGCATGATTTTTAATACCAAAACTGATTTAAAATTACCATACGTTGGAATATAAATTATTCTATTATAAAGATACATGCATTTGCATGTTCACTGCAGCACTATTCACAATAGTAAAGACATGGAATCAACACAGATGGACATTATCAGTGATAATGGGATAAAGAAAATGTGGTATATATACACCATGGAATACTATGGAGCCATAAAAATGAATGAGATCATGCTCTTTGCAGGGATATGGATGAACCCAAAGCTGATATCTTCAGCAAACTAATGCAGGAAGAAAAAACCAAACACTGCATCTTCTCACTTATAAGTGGGAGCTGAACGATAAGAGCACATGGACTCGGGGAGGGGAACAACAAACACTGGGGCCTGTTGGGGTCAGGAGGGAGAGCATCAAGATCAATAACTAATGCCCACAGGGCTTAATATCTAGGTGATGGATTGATAGGTGCAGCAAACCATCATGGAACACGTTTACCTATATAAGAAACTTGTTGGCCAGACTGGTCTTTAACTCCTGACCTCATGATCTTCATGCCTTGGCCTCCCAAAGTGCTGGGATTACAGGTGTGGCCACCATGCCTGGTGGCTATTTCTCTTTTTAAATTCTCTCAGGACTCCTAAAATCTCAAAACTTTGACCTAGATTCCCTAATCTACATTTCCAGCTCTGACCATTTTCTTGAGGTCTCTTCGTTCTAGTACACATATTATAGAAAATATTCTCAACCACATGCTCATACATTGCTAATTGGTGCAGATTACTTTTGTAGATAGTGAATGTTGTCTATTTTATGTTGGTTCTCATTAATGTTACTTTGAGTATACTGTTATTTTCTAATCTCAAAGGGGGGCTATCTCACTGTTATGATACTAACCAGTATACTTTGTCCTTTTTTTCTTGCTTTCTTCTTTTTTGGACCAGTATACTTTGTCCCTTTTTTGTTTTTCTTTTTTCTTTTTTTTGAGATGGAGTCACACTGTGTCATCCAGGCTGGAGTGCAGTGGCACCATCTCGGCTTACTGCAACTTCCACCTCCTGGGTTCAAGTGATTCTCCTGCCTCAGCATCCCAAGTAGCTGGGACTACAGGTGCACACCACCAGACCTGGCTAATTTTTGTATTTTCAGTAGAGACAGGGTTTCACCATGTTGGCCAGGCTGTTTTTGAACTGCTGACCTCAGCTAATCCACGCACCTCAGCCTCCCAAAGTGTTGGGATTACAGACGTGAGCCACGGCACCCAGCCCTCTTTTTCTTTTATGATGAAAACTTTCCCATGAGAATCATATTATCAATTGTTTGCCTTTGTTTTCTTTTAAAGAAATTCCTTTTCCATAGAGATATGGCATGATGAAAGTCTTGTTCTAAAGTTTCTTTTGGGGGACACTTAACTATGTCATTGGGAAGCTTCAGTAAGTAGAGAACTCCCTTCTTCTCACTCAAGATTCTTCATCTCAAAATGGTGTCCACCAAATGTCTTAATCCAGGTAGTCTTTTGTGTAGAAATTCATGAAATAAGAACCTTCTCGAGAAGTTGGAGGCTAGTGATTGAGATGGTTTAACGCTGCCCCTTATTATATGTTTTACTCCCAAGGTAGACATCAAAGTGGCTAATAATTCTATGACTGATGTCTAACTCACTTCTATGGGAATCTATACAAAACGTTTTATTTATGAGACAGAGTCTCCCTCTGTTACCCAGCCTGGAGCGCAGCGGCTTGATCACTGTTCACTACAGCCTCAATATTCCAAGCTCAAACGACCCTCCTACCACAGCCTCCCAATGTAGCTGGGACTACAGGCGTGCACCACCATGCCTCAGATAAGTGTTTAATTTTTTTTTTTTTTTTTTTTTTTTTTTAGAGACAGGGTCTCACTATATTGCTCTGGCTGGTCTCAAACTCATGGGCTCAAACGATCCTCCTGCTTCAGCCTTCCAAAACCAGGTGTTTAACTGGGGACTAACATGAAACACTTAGAAGACTACGTGGAACATAGTGAGCTACATAAAATATTTGCTATTAGCATAATAATTTTATTGTATATCTTAACAAAATTGTGTATTTTAGGCAGGTGGCATGCCAATGGAAGTACTCTCCTATAGCTGCACTGAATCATTCTTACCACTGAGAGTTGCAGCAAATGGGGGACATAATTTATAACTTACTTTTCTCTCTGTATGACTCATTAGGCAATGACTATGTATGTACTACAATGTAAACAGCACCTTCTGGATTGAATAGTACATAACTGACATGACCAGCAGAGACAGGCTAAAGACACTGAGCTGAAAACCCTGGACTCTATTGCTAAATCAAGGCTCCTGAATCCGTTCCCTCTGAGAAACTGTTGCTGTGGTGCTGCCTTCACAAGCACTCTGCTGAGCACTCATATTGAGGGGCTGTGCTATCCGTCATCGGACAAGCTGCACCCAGAACTGTTCAGCTGACAAACTGGTAGCAGTCCAGAAACACAGTTCTGCTGCATAGTGAAAAAAGGCCAATTTAGATTCTTTTTCATAGAGAGAAAAACATAAACATGTGATTGAACGAGTCTCCTGTATTAGACTAATTGGGTTGGCTTTGATATTTAATTGCTAAAAACACACTTAGAATATAAACCTTACTGTGTCAAGGTCTCAAAGAAGAAATAATTGGTATGGTATAAAGTATTGAATTGTATGCTACAAACTTCTAAGCTAAAATATTTTCAATGTATGCAAGGATAGGTGGCACACATATTATATATTATTCCCCCATTAAGCAAATTTATAATGAGAGAAAACTATCTTCCATAAAAAAATAAAAGCCATGTAAAATTAAGAACTAAGTTTTTCTGCAAAGACTAGACAACGATTGCTAACACATAAGGTCAATGAGAGAACACTCAGAGAAAGCTTCATGAAAACAATAAATTGTCTGCCACTTCTGAGTGAATGAGGCTAGATGAATAGAAACTGAGAAGGCAGAAAGGATAGCATGAGCAAGACAAGTGCTGAAATCTGCCCAATTAACTCTGAGGATAAAGTCCAATGGCAGAGAAATAAAAACGCGTGTCCACATAATAACCTGTAAGTGAATGTTCGCAGCAGCATTTTTCATAAGAGCTAAACAGTGGAAACTAACCTAAAGGTCCATCAACCGATGAATGAATGGAAAACCAGTATAGACATGGAATAGAATATCACTTAACTGTAAGAAGAAATAAACTACCAATGTGTGCTAAAACATTATGCTAAGTGAATTCTGAAAACATTATGCTAAGTGAAAAAGCCAGTCACAAAGGACTACGTATTGTATAACTCTATGTATATGAAATAGGCAGAACAGGCGAACATATGGAGACAAAAGCAGATAGATGGTGGTTGCCTACAACAGAGGTAGGTGGAGGGACATGGAGGAAGGCTGCAGTCATGCCTAGGAGATGTAGCGTTGCTTTTCAGGGTGATGAAAATGCTGTGAATTACTAATAGATACTGAGTTGTACATTTTAAATGGTTGAACTCTCTCAAATGTGAATGATATCTCAGTGAAACTGTTTTTAAAATCCGAAGGCAGGATCAAGATAATTTTCTCAACTCTCAATTTTTGATGTACATGTTATCTCAAATTTAAATATTTCCACAGTTTTATAGTATATTTTAAATAAAAGATAAAGAAAATGCCTAACTTTTCAAATAGTTTGTAAATTAACCTAAAACATGCACTTTTAAAAGAATAGTATAATGGCCTTTCTGTACAAGTTAACCTAGAATCTGTGAAATAAATAGACACAGATTCTGTGTCCACTCACAAAAGTGAAGAAATAAGACAATTTTCTGGAACATTCCATGAAACATTCTTCTCTGATTTAATCTGGCCTGCCTCATCAGAGCAATACAAAAATTACTTAAAAATACTCTTTTAACAGGACAAAAGTCAGTTTTCTATGAGGAATGATATATAATTCTCAACTTTTCCAAGGGTACGTATTGTAAGAGAAAAGGTATGCAATGGTTTTTCAAAATGGTAGAATGAAAGTCACAATATAAAAAAATAAGTACATTATAGAGATAGTAAAGTGGAAATAATTCATTGTAATGAAAATAAAAAATCAAGCTTCTGCCATAATTAGTATCCTAAAACATGTTATGTAATTCAACTAGCTACAGAATAACAGTTGACATGCTAAGTTCCATACATACTTGACTTTCCACTTGAAATAATTTCTTCTTTGGGACCTGTGTCTCATCCAAATTAATGTGATAATGTGATATACCTTCCAGTGGAGACTCTAACATAGTTAATTTTTTTAGGCTGTCAGCCGCTTCTTGTTGAAGTTGTCTCACAACCACCTGAGAAAATATTTTTGTTACTGATTTTATAAATTGCCTTATTAAATTATGTTAATAATATTTAACTCTAACATACGTACTTTGAAAATTATCACCACACATATCAATTCACCTTCTTTTAATCACATGTACACATTTTTATTTATTACTGAATTCAGTGAGGGATGCACAATATGTTCTCTTCCTGCCAAATTGGTATTCTCTTACTTACATAACAGATTCATCCCACCATTCAATCATCTTAGAAGCTCAACTCAACCTCAAAGTTCCTCACATATTCAATCACCTGTTCAAATCCTTCCAACAGATTCCTATCTCAGAATAAAAGTAAAATTCCAATGGCCTTTGAGGTCCTAGGTAAACAGGTCTCTACCTCCCTCTCTGACTTCAAAGCTCCTACAACTCCCTCCTGTAATTACTCCATTCCCACTGTACGTGAAGCCTGCCACCCCTCTGTCTGAAAATAGGGATCTAATGCCTTACTCATAAATCACAGGCAGCTACAAGTATCTTTGTACTGAACAAAATTATATTCCAATGATAGTCATTAAGCCTTGAAATAAAAATTAGGAGCTAATTATTAATATAAATATTCAAAGTAAACTATAAATACCAGTGGGAAGACTAAACCAAATATAGTTTTGCTAAATATTACCACATGTATCCTAAATTATGATTTTATAACAAGTAGGTGCCTTTAAAACATTACATAGTCATAAAAATATGTAATTTGACATATTTTCAGATTTGTTAAATTAATATGATTAATAACAAAGATATACCAACTAAAATACATAAAAAGCTACTTAAAGCAAGGTATTACAAGACACAGCAATACACTTCAGTTCATCTGGGAAATCTAGAATTAAGTGTCAAAGATAATCAATTAAATTTTAATTTGAAAATACTCATTTCAGGTGTAAACATTTCCATTTATACTTACATTATGGTCTTAACATGTGGCAACATAAAGTCATTAAAATTATTATTTCAGCAGTACAGAACTATCTACCTTAAAATATGACTCTGTGCCTAATAAAATTTCATAGGTGACACAATGTCTTTTCTCAAAGTAAATCATCTCTCACCTCTACCTTTTATTTCCTAGAAATGGGGCACGTTTCTAAGCTGGTATAGTAAACACGGTTTTCCTTTTTTTTTATTAAAACAGCTTTGTTGAAATATAATTTACATACTATAGAATGTATCTGTTTTAACTTAAAGTTAAAAGAATTTTTAGTCCATTTACTGAGTTGTGCAGCCATCTCTACAATCAAACTTTACAGCATTTCCATCACTGCAAGATCCCTGACGCCCATTAGCAGTCACTACCAGCTTTCAGCCCCAGCCCTTTGCAAACATTAGTCTACTTTTTGTCCCTATACGTTTATCTTTTCTGGATGCTTCATGTAAATGGAATTATACAGTATGGTAAACACACTTTTTATCCATTGATTTTTATATTCAACTAAGTTCAACATGTATCCAGAACCAAATGTTTAAATTTTCTTTCTAAAAGTTTGAAAATATTTATCTTCCTTGATACTTACTACTCTTTCTGCTTTCTCTCTCTCATATCGAAAGAGACTTTCTTTTTAATGATCACATTCGTTCATTAGCTTCTTATTTTTCTCTTCTAGCATGTGGTCTTTCTTTCCACTCTCAATAAAGCCTCTTTGGATATTAGTTACTATCTCTTTATGATCCTCTTTCTGATGAACATCATCTAGTTGCTGTTCAATGCACGGATTTTCATGTTGGAGTTGACATATCCTCTCTTCTACACAGCTCCACTTTCCAGTGGAATTATTCACTTTAGCTTCTGCATTTTCATACATCTCTTTCATTTCCTTTATTTGCTGCTGTGTTTGGCTTAGGTCGTTTGGAGAGTTTCTAAAGCCAATGACTTTTTTCTGAGAGTATCTCTGTTCTTACGGAACTTATCTTTTAAGGTATTGAATTTAATTTGCTTTTTAGAAAGTTGTTCAGTAAGAAACTCATTCTTCTACTTCGGAAATATCAGAACTCATTTTTACTTGTACGGAAACATCTTGTGTTCACTCTAATGCAAGTTTTAGGTTTCTTTCTGTTTTCACACTTTCACTGTGCTTACTTATAGCAGCAGTCAGTCTAGACTGATGATTCAATTTCAGCTTCCAGTCTTTTGTTGCTTTCTTCTTCCTTCAACAGTTCGGAATTGAGCCTTGTATTCTCAGCTTTGAGATCATTAAGCTCTTGTTGATACCGGAATGCTGTTCTTGTTATCAATTCCTCATTGAGTTTTATATACTTTTCAAGGGCAGCGTTTGTTTTTTTAACAATTTTAACGTCCTTAAGATATTTATTTTCTTTTTCCAGGTTGTCATTTTTCATTGTGCGTATTTCCTGTCGGAGTATAGCAATATCTGTCTTCAAAATGCAATTTTCATCCATCAGATCTTTCATTTCTTCCTGATTATGAAAATCCTAAATAAAACAAAAGAAAGTTTTAGCTAGTACTCAATAAAATATCATGATTACCTCTGAAGCTAAAGTATAACCTGCACATCCATATACTAAAAAGGTTACTGTAAGTGGATATCCAACTGGAGAAAAAGTTGAAGCAAAACTTTGAACTTTATAGAGCATAAGTTCCAAAAAGTTCAGAAATTTATTTAAAGTCAATGAATTTATAAAAGTAAACACACACACACACACGCACACCAGAGAATTTTTAAGAATTTCAGAATTGGAAAAGCCTTTCCCTGAATTACAACAAACTCAAAAGCATAAATTAAAGCATTAACAAATTTGACTAAATTAAAATATATCAAAAAATTGCATTTACACTTTGATATCTAACCCATACACCACCCTATAGTAAGAACCTTAGTTCACACATATTTGGACAGATAAAATTTCCCAGAGTTATTACAGTTCTGTTTCACTGATAACATTCTATTTTAATTTGACTCTTTTAACACTTTTATAGTCAGTTGAAAGAATTACATTTACTAAATCATAAATCTAGACATTATACTAGTCACTCCTATATACATTCATTGATGAACCCATCTAGTTACCACAAATTTGAAAAAGAAATGTTAAAAATATAAGCAAGCTACAGGATTTTCCCCAGGACTTCTTACTCTACTTCTAGTTCTCTGAGAGATCACAGTTACTTCTGTGGTGTAAATGTATCAATACGAAAGAAAAGTTTTATTTCAAAACACCAATGGTAAATAAGATAAAATTTATAGAGCTCTTCTTAGAATATCATGAGATTATTTGTGATTGCAATAATTTGTTTCCTCTTTATAGTATTAGGTACAGTAATCAATATGAAATGGCAGGAAGTACAAGGAACAATTTTACTGGGAACAAAATCTTTATCAATAGGTTATCACTAAGTATATATTATGGCATATTATTGTTTTCAAAAGCTCTTTGTAATAAAATAATATCCTATGTGGATGCCAAGATTTATAATAAAAATAATTGTACCTGTAAGTGTCATCATTCATTTTTTAAAAATGAGATAACATTTCTGGTTTGTTTTAGACCAAAATATTATATATTAAATCAAGAGGATATTATAAGTAACATTGATAAAATAAAGTTTAAAATATAGAATTTTTACCAAAGATTTATTTATCTGATTTGGAGTATTTCTTGTAGTCTTCGGTTTCATCTCTAGTGATTGAATAGTTGGTTCAAGTTGTTTTGCTTCAACTTCTTTCTTATATTGTTTCCCTTTCCTTTCTAATTCTTCTCTATTTTTTTGCACAGCATATTAACATTTGTTTTTTCTTCACTTTCTTGTCTTAAGATGCATCTGCAGACAAAGACATTTATCTTAAAATTCATTTTGTTAAAAAATAAAGAGATCATCCTGTGATCTACCTCTGCAGATGCTCTTTATCATCCTAGTAAAATTTCTATGTTCTGGATTATTTTTCCTTTGTAGTTCTCAGATATTTAATTTCTCACTTCAACATCTTCAAACGAATGCATATACTTGAAAATTAGTAAGGAAAGAATATTCTGCTAAAGTTTTTATTACTAGTCACTCTAGTATGTATTATACAAAAAGATACTGGAAATAATTCAGTATAGTTAGAAGTTCAAAATTACCTTTTCAAATCACACAGTCATAATTACTACCTGATTAGAAAAGGTCATTTACAATCAACTAAATTTTTAAAGTTACTATTTATTGACAAGCGTATAAGTTCACTAGAAATAAATTTTCATCTCTATGAAATATTGCAGGTGTCTCTCCAAATGATTTACAGAGTAAGATATCTCTCACACAAACTATATCTGCAGATTATTGTCATCTAAAACTAGGCTAAAGAGTCTAACATCTGTTACCCCACACTTTTTCTAATTCTTTCTTAATACTTCCAGTTCACCTTCTTATTACATATATTTTATATATTTATTAAGCTATTGTTCATTATGTGTAATATATAATTAATGCCCTTAATAAGTGTGTGTATGTTTACACAAGTTATGTTTTCCTGTGAAATCTAGTCCCAGAAGTGGAGTTGTTGAGTTAAAGGGATGTCAGGTTATTTGAAATTTTGATAAACAGCACTAAGTTACCCTTCAGAAATAATTTACCAATTTCATATACCAACAGTGTATGAGAATGCCTTTTTCCTCTCATTTTCAATGGTAGGAATTACTTTTTCAATATCAGCATGACTTTACAAAATATATCTTATTTTATGTTAATTTGCATTTTTCTGATTACTAGGCAGGGCTAAATATCCCTGGTAAAACTATAAAACTTGTTAATCATAATGAACATTAGTCCAATTTTGAATTAGTTTATAGCACAATGACAATTATCTGCTGAGAAATACTGCTATAGGTGGCCAGGCACGGTGGCTCACTCCTGTAAACCCAGCACTTTGGGAGGCCGAGGTGGGCAGAACACCTGAGGTCAGAAGTTCGAGACAAGCCTGGATAACATGGTGAAACCTCATTTCTACTAAAAATACAAGAAATTAGCTAGGCATGGTGGCACATGTCTGTAATCTCAGCTACTAGGGAGGCTGAGTCAAGAGAATCACTTGAACCCAGTATGCATAGGTTGCAGTGAGGTGAGAACACACCATTGCATTCCAGCTTGGGCAACAAGAGAGGAACTCCATCTCAAAAAAAAAAAAAAAAAAAAAAAAAAACTGCTATAGGCTTACTTACCTATCATGCTTTTCCTTCAGTTTCTTGGGAAATTGCTGAGGATACGTTTTCCCAATCTTTCTTTCTTTGGTTAATCTGTCAGCAGCAGCAGAAGATGTACTATGACATACATTTTCTGATAGTTGTATTTTTTCACTTTTGTTTGTATTATTTCCTTCTTTGACCTTTAATAAAAGTAATATGAATAATAATTATTATTTTATTCAATAAAAAAACTTTTTCCCTGATTTTTTAACTTGATTCAGGTTAACTATCACCATTTTAATGATAAAAGTATTTTGTGCTTACTTTAATTTTATCATTATACATAATAATTATAAGATACTCATCATTTTATCATTGAAATTTTTGTCAAGTCTGCTCATTTCTGTTTGAGTGAATGGAAGAATTTTCCAAAATTTCAAAAAGGACTCTTCTCCATTTTGTGCTTTTATTCGCATCCACTCTTTGCTATCTGATATAAATGTTTATGCTAGTTGACTGGCAGAAACAGAGAAATAAAAAGACACAGGCATAACATATATCTTCTGTCATTGCCACATGGATTTTACATGAAATAGCCAGATTAAGAGGATGTAACCTTGTAGGCCTTCAAGAACAGTAAAGAAGTTTTCCCTTTTCTGCACTGAGCTATTCTTTTCCCCACTGCCTTTTATCTCTTTTTTTTTTTTTTTTGAATCCTGGGATATCAAAAAAGTGAAAGTTCTCCCTGAACTATGGGAACCAATGTTTGTTTGCCACAACACAAGAAGCAGAATGAAACTGCTGAGTTCCTAGTGCAGAATTCTGGAAAACGAGATGCTTCCCAGATTTCACATTCAGTTACCACAAATGTTTATAGGTGGAACACATATGGTACAGTTATCTACTTAAGCCATATTATCTACTGAAAATGGGAGTCAAACCAACCAAGACATACGAAATGTTTCATCCAGAGCTCTTGAGGCGGCATTCCCTAGCATTTCATGGCACCAAATAACATTATACAATTCCATGTTGCTGAATTACATAAATTACCAGATAAATTTATCAAATTAGTCAGATATATTAAAAGTCTAACGAGCAAAGCAATTTAACACCTCAGAGGGTGGAAAAAGGCCTCATCTGCTTTTACTTTGAAAGAAGAAAATCTCTAGATTTTTGTCTATCTTTAGAACACAGTGTACAGAACTCAACTTTCTACTAAAGAGTCAAAGGTTAAATTTTTAGCTAAGAAATTATGCTTCTTACATGATAAAAATCATACATGCCAAAACTTACCATACTTTATTAAACAACATAATGTAAGGTCTGATTCAACAGAAATATTGGAGTGGTGATTTTTTTAAATATGTGGAAGTATATATTTGTTTTCAAAATATTGGAAATAACCATGATGGAACTATAAATTCAAACAGTTTGAGCTAAGCAGATAAACTTGCATGCATGAAAACACATTAAACAGACTCATTTGTCTGGGAATATTCATTGCAACTCTCAAGGCTAGAAGTGTTTTTGTGGCTCATCTCAGTCATTGCTTCCCTCCCATTGTATTCCCATTCTATCATTAAATAAATGTAATTCATCTCTAAATGACTATAGTAAAAAGAATCTAGAATCTAAAGCTTATTTCTTTAGCAATTTCTTTATGTTGATCTGGTTCAGAAGGTCACATGGTATATGGCTGAATTAGTTTCCCAGCTCATATGCCACTTGGAAGACTGAGAGTGAGACTTAGGTTGATTAATGAACAAACATTATGAGAACATTCTCCGAACCATTGTTTAGATAGCAGGACTAGTCTACTTTGACACATAATTACACATTTAGAAAACCCCGCTGTAACTGTACACATGGGATTTTCTTGAATAGAAAATTTGACTAAATCAAATAATTGATAAAGAGAAAAAAGAAGCAGCAAGTGAACCTCTGTCTTTTTGAAGTTGGACTTTCTCTTTCTCCAAAGCCAGGAACTCTACTTGTAACATGCCTACCTCATTCTTTTTACTATTATTATACTTTAAGTTCTGGTACATGTGCACAATGTGCAGGTTTGTTACGTATGTACACATGTGTTATGTTAGTGACCTTGAAATATCTTGCTGTAAGTTTCTAGCTATATTTTTTGATGTTCTCTCACTATGTGGCAAAGAATAACCCAGATTTTATAATTCAAGATTCATGGTTTTGTAGTTATTAACACTGGGATTGTCATTCAGTGGCTTCTGGAATAAGCATTGTGTTGGTTTTCTGTTTTTATAAGTATCTGTAGCAGCAGAAATACTGTGGCTTTCTATCTGAATCATATGCTTCATTTCTTTGGGGTGGGTAAACCACAAATCAAAAAGACTTTCTGGATCTCTAGACTGAGACCAATGCCTAATGTCTAATTTCCAATTAGTGGTATTTGGGTTTATACATTTTTCCATTTGCATGTCAAACTCTTAATCATCTTTCATTTCAATCATAATTACTGGGTTCTTTACTTTTTCAGTTTCTATATCATAACAAAAATTTTCATCATCTGTGTTAGAAACAAGCTGTGTGTCTGGTTTGTTATCATTTTTATAGTCTGATTTATTTTAATTTAAATGAAGCTTAGAAGATGACTGGTAAGTGTATTTCAGGGACCTGGAGTGTGAATGGAATAAAAAGACATTTGACATGGGCTTCCTCTGTTCAGGCGCTGCCTGGACTGCCACAGAGCTAGACCCTCCAGATACATTTTTCTCCTCACAATCAGGGACATGATTCATCACACTAGAGGGCACTCCTTTTTTGTTCATCCCTCTTTAGAGTTACCATGTAGGAGCTCTTCCTCAGGGCAAGCAGTAATTTTGGAGTTTTCAGAACTTTTACCAATATTCAGCTTGAACTTGTTTGTAATGAATTTTAAAGAAAGTCATGAATATATAGATAGATTCCCTTTATCACAGTTCTTACCCAGTTCTGGTTCTTGAGACTTTTTTGGGGGGGGTCAGGTGCAAAATGGAAAACAAATTTGCTTGTTTTGTTTCTCAGATGTCTTTTCTGTCAGAGTGCATGTTTTAAAATTAGCTTTAATCAAGTATAAACAAAGAAATATTAGAAAATAATTAAAATTTAACTGTGAAACTTAATCTATGTGTTGCTACTCTTAAATTATGGGATTGTATCTAAAAAGTGAAAAATAATTTGCCTTGGCTTAACATAGGACAGAAACATGAACCAGCAAGCTGAACTCTCAGTGTCTGTTTGGACTAAACTTAATGCATTTGTGTAAAATCTACCAGAAATGAATTCAAAGATGATAGGTAGTATTATAAAAGCTTCCTCTCTTACAAAGACTTTACCTCAGCATACCAGAAAGAGTGAGCCCCTACAGTGCATGTTTATTTCTGAAGATGAACTAGAGCACTAGGCAAACACTAAATTATTAAGAGCTAAACTGAACACCAATAAGAAAGAGAAGCAAAATTTTAAATTCTAATTCAAATGATATACTATGATAGTGTTATGTATCTAGATAGAATTTCTGCTTATATCCACTTCTAATATATTTTAAGTTCCGGTAGTGATAGGGTTTGGATTTTTTAAATTTTAGTAATGTTTACTATGTATTTATGTTGAAATAAAGTTATTGTTCACACCCTGACACCAAAGGTCCCATTCTGCAAGGTAGGATTCTCTTAATAGGCAACTGCATTGACTTTTATGACCCCATTCACTCCCTGAACACAGACACAGAAGTCAGCTGGTGACCACAAAACAGAATAAATCTTTAACCTCGGCACTGGTGACCAGCAATATAAAACTGCAACATTTGAAACACTGGCAATGATGACTCCTTTAACACTAGTTTAACTCAGTGGCCATTGTTGTTAAACTGTTCATAATTTCTATTCCTCAGTAATATGACCCAATACTTCATGTTACCTTGTGTATTATGAGTAAGGTTACATAAATAAAACAGCAAGATAATTCTGAAAATTTCTTGCCTCAATTCCAAGGGTAAAGACAACTATGAGTTACTAGAGATACTAAGAATTACTAGAATAACTAATAGTTACTAGAGATAGTAAGAATATCTTAAGTTTCATAACTGGTTAAGATGTTTTAAAAATTAAATATAAAATTATGATCTATTGGATTCTAAAGGTATAGTCTGAAAGGTCATGTCATTTGGACTATGCTTTGTTAGTAAAGCAAAAAAAACCTAATATTAAACAAGAACTTAAATTTTCATATACCTGTGATTGCTTCTTTTCACTTCTTTCACACCTTTCTTGCTCTTCCTCTAAAGCCACTGGTAAGGTTTGTTCTGTTGACAAATTCATTGATTTAGTTCAAATGAACTAAGAAGAGTTAGATAAAGACTATAATCTTTATAAAAATAAATAGAGAATAACATTTCTTTGTATTTTATATTTTGAGAGTTTGAATGAAACAATGTTTACTGAAATATTTACTTCTGTAAGAAATACTTCTAATTATCCAAAACTTCAACAAACCACTTGGGGAGACACCAGATATCACCAGATTCAAGCCATGCAAAATCTCAGGGACACTCACAAATTGTTCCACCCAACATAAGTCAACAAAACTGTTGGAAACAAAACAGAAATTTGAAATACAGTCAAAATATACAATGTAATGCTTTACTATACTTCATAACAGTATCTTTTTAACAAGACACTAATTGAGTTAGCAGTTACTAATAATTTGCAAAATTATTGTTGTTTATACCTCAATTAGTGTGCACCCCATTTTTTATATCACAAATGTTTTCCCCTGCTATTCTGAAAAATTTATTTTCATCTTTTAAGACTCAGAAAGTAGGCTGGGCATAATAGCTCACATCTGTAATCCCAGCACTTTGGAAGGCCAAAATGGGAGAATTGCTCAAGGCCAAAAGTTTAAGACCAGCCTGGGAACCATAGGTAACCTTGACTCTACAAAAAATTAGACAGGTATGGTGATATGTTCCTGTTGTCCCCGCTACTCAAGAAGCTTAGATGAGAAGATCCCTCGAGCCCAGAAGTCTGAGGTTTCAGTGAGTCTCAATCATGCCATTGCACTCCAATCCTGGGTGATAGAGTAAGAACTTGTCTCCAAAAAGAGGAAGAAAAAAAGGCTCAGAATGCTATGTGAAATCTTCCTTGATTCTAGCTATCTTTCTCCACACACACAGGTGTCTGCTTCGTTGGGGTCCCTTAGTACCTTGTCAATTTTTCTAGTGTCACTTTACCACCTGACCTGCACATCATGTCTTTACATGTTGACCCCCTTTGCTGCTAGACTGTAGAGGACAATCTTTTGAATCATCTTTGTATAAACAGTCTTAATTTTGCTAAATAATTACTTATTGAGTTCCTGCTAAGTGTTAGGCACTGGGGAATAAGGAAGGAAAATAGAAGCTGTCAGGGATGGCTTTCCTAAAGATCACCCATGAGCTGAGACTTAGAGAGTGAGGTTAGCCAGATTAAGCGAGGCAGAGGGCAGGAAAGGGTGAGCACATGCCAGGCGGCAACAAGAGAGGAAGAGAAGCCTCCAAGAGAGTATGTATTTCTCTGCAGAAGAGGAATGGTGAGGGGCCATTACCAGCAGCTCAGTAATTCCAGAGAAAAAGGCAGATGGGGAAAGGGATACAGATGGAGATTTGGGCAGAAATCAGTTTCCTTTCCTTTTCTTTTTTGGGACAAGGTTATACTCTGTCTCCCAGACTGGAGGGCAGTGGCATGATCTCAGCTCACTGCAACCCGGCCTCCCAGGTTCAAGTAATTCTCCTGCATCAGCCTCCTGAGTAGCTGAGATTACAGGCGCGTGCCACTACCACCTGCTAATTTTTGTATTTTATTAGAGATGGGGTTTCACCTTGTTGGCCAGGCTGGTCTTGAACTCCTGACCTCAAATGATCCACTTGCTTCAGCCTCCCAAAGTGCTGGGATCACAGACATGAGCCACCTTGCCCAACCCAGAAGTCAGTTTCTGAAATCCTTATATAAACCTTTAAGATGCTTGGACATTAGGTATTCAGGAGTGGTTCACGGATCTATTTGCATTAAGGATAATTCACTCTAAATACTGTGAGGAGCATAAAATTATGAGGCATATAAATCAATGAACAAAGATAAAATATAAGGCAATGTTGCAAAGGTGATGCAGGCCTGAGGAGATGTTTTCAGAAATATTTAGGATATAGGTATCAGTGGCCATTATAAGAATGAATTTCTATTGAATAAATAAATGTATATATCTGGGTCCCTGAAGAAATACACTCTGCTCATTACTTTACAAATTTTATCAAATGAGAAGTAAAATAATATACATAAACTCTTTCAGTTACTTGTATTTACTTTACCCTTTTTCTTTTCAGTTTTACTGTGCCAAGGAAATGCATTTGGGTTTTGTGGTGGTTGTTGTGGTTGTGGTTGTTTTTGTTTTTTGAGATGGAATTTCACTCTTCCTGCCCAGTCTGAAGTGCAGTGGTGTGATCTTAGCTCATGGCAACCTCTGCCTCCTGGGTTCAAGTGATTCTCCTGCCTCAGCCTCCCTAGTAGCTGGAATTACAGGCATGTGCCACCATGAACAGCTAATTTTGTGTTTTTAGTAGAGATGGGTTTCTCCATGTTGGTCAGGCTGGTCTCAAACTCCCAACCTCAGGTTATCTGCCCGCCTCAGACTCCCAAAGTGCTGGATTACAGGCACTAGCCACCACACCCAGCAATATATGGGGATTTTGTTTTAAAAGTTATGTTTCCTGGATCTACCAAGCTCATGAGAAAATAGAGCAAACAAGTCATTTGCATAGGTAAGAAACTTTGGATTTATAGCTTGTCCTCACTACTTTAGAAGATTATCATCATGTTTTGCAAAGCAAAATGTTAAACACAGACACAAGGGGAAAAAGAAATTAAAACTATAGGGGTGGGTGAAAAAATATTGCATAATTTATTACTGTTGACCTCATCATATGACTGATTAAGGGCACTGAATTTAACTTGGATGTGAAGTAGACCTCATATTAGCTGCAGTTAATCAGTAGACCAGGCGTCCTAGCAGAATTAAATTTGATGCTCCTGTGTTATCTTTAAAAGACACAGCTTTTCTGAAAACCCTTACTCATAGTGCATGATTATCCATTAAGAAAAGGTGATGGAATATGTGAATACAGCTGAGGAGACACCACAAGGCAAATGCTAAGTGGTTCCCATTAATATTGCAAAAATAAACACTATAAAACAGAAAGCCATAGACATTATTTAATATTTGGTTTTGGGAGGTATTTTTAGTGACACTGCATACAGTTGTACCTAATAATTGCTAAATTAGAGACGTAAAAGTAAAACAAAGGCACATTGTGTTTGAGTAGGAAATCTATAGACATCTAGCTGGTTTTCCCATCCAGCCACAAAATTCTAAATATAATCATGGTACCTGCACTCAAATTTATGTTAAATACCAACCTCAATGAAATCACTCTTTCTTCTCATTCTCTTTGTTATTTATATGTTGCTTTCCTTAAGGGAAGAATACAAATGCCTTGCTAAGAACCATTCTGTTTGGTTGTAGGCTGCATAAGGGGAGTAAACACAAAGTACATTTGACCACAAAATGACTTTTTAAAAGTCAGAACTATGGTAGCATGAAGCCAAACGAGGTAATCTAGAATAAAATTTTCTATGCTTCTTTCCCTTCTTTGCTCTCTTTCTACTCTAATAACTGCGATTCACACAGGTAAAGAAGAGTGTAATTCCTTGATAGAAACACAGCTCCAAGATTAATCCTTTCTTTAACTATGAAGTTCGCGTGTCCAAAATCTGTGGTAGTTGCTGTCTGATTTTTATCACTGATGGTGATACAGATATTTATCATCAACTCACAACTTCCCAAATCTTTGAAAAGTCTTACTATTGATGGTTCAACTAGTAGAAACATGATGTAAAATATCTGAAAATAAAGTTTTTATTTATTAGAATGTAAATAATAATACAAATTGTAATAAGGTGTAAAAGTTCTTTCTTCACTGAAGCAGTACCATGTTGTCCTCTACCCCACAAATGCACTACTCCCCCGTGGTCTAATGTATTTTAAAAGTCTTGTAATTGCTATTAACTCAGAAAAGTTTACTTAACTTGTTCTAAGCTTCTGGTATTTACTACAGTTTACTTTCAATCACTCAACCATCTCTGTTATATATGTTGTTTTCCATGAGAAATTTGTTTATTAGTAATTAAGATTCTTCAGGTATAAGAAAATATTTCAATAACTAAGTTTGTGCATAAACACATTAAGGTCAAATACCCATGACATTATTGTGTGTTTCTGTGTACTAGAGACAAAAACTTCAAAAAAAATTTTAATGAATATACGTTAAATTAAAAAATGCTTTCATTAAACTGAGATAATCTTCCCTCAATGCATGAATACCTTCAGAATTCACATAGACCAAATAATTGTATAAAGTATAATAGCCTTAAAAATCTTATTTGTAGCTGGCACAATGACTCCCACCTGTAATCCCAGCACATTGGCAAGCCGAGGTGGGCAGATCACCTGAGGTCAGGAGTTCAAGAGCAGCCTGGCCAACCTGGTGAAACCCCATCTCTACTAAAAATAGAAAAATTAGCAGGGTATGGTAGCACGTGCATGTAGTATCAGCTACTCGAGGGGCTGAGGCAGGAGAATTGCTTGAACCCGAGAGGCAGAGGTGGTAATGAGCCAAGACTGAGCCACTGCACTCCAGCCTTGGTGACAGAGCAAGACTCTGTCTCAAAAACACAAATAAACAAACAACCTAATTTTTCCCATATAAGTCTATGTTCATACAAGATCTGAAGAGTACACAACACCGTGAGACAGGACAGACATATATTTTAAAAGTTATATTCCTGGTTTCTGTAAAAATAAAATAGTTGAATTTAAGCTTTCAAGACAAGTCAACGAAAAGAGAATGCAAAAGTGAAACTCGAAGGGTCATTTCCCCATCAAGGGCTCATGATCACTGGACATTCACAAACTATACTGTTCAAAACATTAGATCTGAATTTTGATCCGAGTATCCCTTTAGTAGCAGTTTCATTCAAGGATGTCCAAGAGGTAAAATAAGACAATATCATTTGCTATTTTCAGTTTTCTTTTCTGAGAACAGCCCAGCATTCTTCTTCAGAGAAATGAATTGTGCTAACTTCATAGGCTAAAGGCTCATGAGTCATAGTTCTAAGGGTATTAATAAAATATGGTGGTGTATGCTTGTATTCTGAACTTTTCAGGTTTAAACTCTCATATAGTAAACGCTAATAGATACAAACCAATTAAAGAAAAGCCCTCTTAATCTGACATTATTTTTCTTTTTATTTCTTCATTTATCAGCAACAGGAGAGTCTAACTAAATGTGGTAAAGTGGTATGAGGGAATACAATGAACAGTGTAAAATGAATTAAACCAGGGATAATCACACCAATGTGGGTACAAGTGGAAAATATAATACAAAACACACCAAAGAAAGTGGCAGAAAGGTATATAAAGTGTATAACCACTCACATACCATTTTAGGACACAAAAAATTCTGCATATTATTTCTGAGCATCACAATGTAATTAAAGATTTCAAAAGGGCATTGAAATGAAAAACAACCAACTTATGATGTTGGTAGCCTCTATGCAATCATGTTTTAAAAACTTTAACACCAAAAAGGCTCAAAATCACCATTTTAAAAGACTGTGTCTACCAGTCATAAATGAATCATTACTTTCGTCATTTGTAATAGTCAAAGATGCCACAAGCGCACGCATACACACATCTATATATACACCTACACACACAGTCTTGCTCATTAGAACATCTGATAGGTTTCAGATCATCAGTGTAATAACACTAGCAGCAAGCCTCTGAAGTTAAAACAGAAACTGACACTTTAATAAGTAAAGCTTTCCTCTAGGTAAAGATCAGAACTCCAACTAGCACTTAACTCACTGGAAATATCTTAAGAGTCTCAAAATTCACTGCTTTGAATCCCTGACAAGTATAAAAATTTTATACTGAAAACTTCATGCTATTCAAAACATTTAAACAGAAACATCTGACTTAAAGCTTACATTTTTAAAATCTTTTTTATGCTTCTAAATTTGTTTTTATTCAAATATGGATACCAACAATAACATTTATGTCAATGCCTTCTGTTCAATATTGAACAAATAGAATTAGGAATAAGAATAATATGAGTACATCCAATCATTGAATGTACTTTATTTCCAGTATTCCATTAAATGTACCTGCTCTCAATGTCTGTACATACTTTCTTTGTACTGCTCCTTTCACAGCAGGATCTTCCACTTCAGTGCTAGGCTGAATGGGTTTTAAAAGATAACGATTCATAAATCATATATATTTTATACAACATGGAGTTAGTGATTCAAAAATATACATAATTAATTACCTTCAAGGAAGGATGTTTTGCAGGAGGCCCTACAAAGCAAAGGGGATATGTCATCAATTATATGTAAGTATGACAAGGCCAACCAAACATTCATGCAGTGTTACTGTCGAGCTGAATTCTCAGGCCTGGCTATAAAAATAATTACTTAAGGTTTTGAGGGTTCTTCTTGGCTTCTTCTTTTCATTGCCTAGGACAGCAACATGACAGAAACACAATGAGGAAAATAGGAATATAGGATTCCCAAAATGCACAGTTTATATTTCAGTAGTGAGATTATGTTTCAAATGCCTATACTTAAAATAGAAAAGCATTGATATAACCGTGAACATGTGGACTGATGAGGAGAAAAGGGACCATTAAACAGAGGGGCAAATCAAACCTGAGAGAATCAATGTCAAAGCTGATGGTGAATGTACAGAGTATTTTAACTCCACACACCAGAGGCATTGCTGCCAGCACAGCACAAATAAATTCCCCTTGTCTTGTCACTGAGGAAATACGCAGTTGGGATGACAGTTCAGGTGAATGTGTGATTCACCTCTCATCAAAGAAAGGGTTCTACATTGATCAGCTAGGATACACACTTATGAAATAACAGCTAATCAAACTACTCATTTTTCCCATGATCACATGGGCTACTGCAGCACCTACATTTCTCCTATCCCCTCATTTGGCCTTGAATTAGAGCTCCTTGATCCACTCATGCAAGGTGGTCCATAAAACACATCAAATAAACCATGTCGAATAAGCTTCTGATATGAAAATATTTATCAAAAAAGAAAACATTGAATGACCACAGACTTGCTGGATATTAATACATATTTATATTTCAAAATCAGTGCAGTATTTATTGAAAATGATAATTTTGGTTTTCATGGAATGAATTTTATGATTACTTCTAAAATTAACTGAGTTTGGTATATTATCTTACACTGTAAAGGACTTTTATAAAACAGCTATCATATCGAAGAACTGGCTGTCTCAAAAAAATTTCACCAAAGCATCTATATGCAACTTAATCATATCTTATTCACTCATGTCAGTGAAACTTCTCTCCCTGAGGCCTGACAGTTATCAAGTGAAATGAGCTGCTGTGGTTTACCCCAACTCTAGCACTCCCTCCTGTCTCCAGTACTCTCCACAGCAATAACCTCTTTTGTGAGACTGGGCATATGCTGAAGCAACTGGAAGTGAGTTGTCTCAAGTTAACTTGGCTTTAACTCCCAAGACCCCAGCAAATGTCTTTCTTTCCTCCTTTTGTGTCCTTTCACCATCCCTCTTCCTTTGAAAAAATGATTATCAGAACTGTCATCCTGATGCTTCCCTTCCTAACTGCTTTTTATGGATGATTGTGACCACTTTTTTCATCTGTATTCAGCAGTAGTATACACCTGTAATCTCTCTTTTTTCATCTCATTTTCCTTCCCCTGTGGCTAGAATCATGCTCAGAAATAAAAGGAAATTAAAGCTTTCCCTGGATTCTGTTATCTTTTAAATTGCTCTCCAGTGGTTCTTTTTCCAGATTTCTCTAAAGGAAGGCTATTCCCTTGCTATTCAGAGCTGTGTCCAAGGACCAGCACAAACATCACCTGAGTGCTCATGAGAAATGCAGACTCCAATACCTGCTGAGTCAGAATGTGCACTTTCCAGAAGCTCCTCAACGTATTCATGACAATTTGAATGCCTTGTTCTACACTGGTGTGCTTCCATATTGGTTTACCCTAATTGGCCTTTTTGGCCTAGCCTCAACTTCTTTCCTATTATGTCCCTGAATTTAATACTACGTTATAAGCCATAATGTTTCTAATGAACTTTTAATCAGGCAAAGCTTCTCTAATTAATTTCTTCCCAATAAATCACCCAACACTATTCTTTTCAATTATGTTAATATGATACTATCCTATGAAGTTACAACATTTTCTATGAAAACAAATTACAGTCATACATGGCTGACCATTTATGGTGATGTTCATCTATGGTAGATAAAACACAGGTCTGCATGGTAAAGTACCTCAATCCTTAATGCCTCCCCAGTAGCGAGAATGACAGCAAGAGAAGGAAAATGTTACTGTAATTATATGACACATTTTGGTACTGGAAGCTCACTTTATCTTCCTTCCTATTTCTAACACCCTGTTCTTCCTTCTTCTACAGATCAATTTGACTTTACTACCCTCCATTACATACATCCACTTTTTTTTATTTATTCCATGTACACTCTGCCCTCCTCATTCTTTCTTTCTCTTTTATTCATTTCCTCTTCCCTCTCTCCTGACTTGCCTCAGGTCTTAGAGTATGTTAAAATGGAACTCATAACTCACCTCCTTTAGTGGTACTTCCAATAGAATCAACTGCTGACCCTTGGTTAGAGACACCACTTATCACCATTTCATTTCTCTTTTACTTATGATACAGTTAATAGGACATTTTCTTTAGCTATTAAACTCTATTAGTGCTCATATTTTAAAAGAAACATTCCATCAATGCCTTTTTTTTTTTTGAGATGGAGTCTCACTCTGTCACCCAGGCTGGAGTGCAGTGGCACGATCTCCGCTCACTGCAAGCTCCACCTCCCAGGTTCACACCATCCTCCTGCCTCAGCCTCCTGAGTTGCTGAGACTACAGGCACCTGCCACCATGCCCGGCTAATTTTTCGTGTTTTTAGTAGAGATGGGGTTTCACCATGTTAGCCAGGATGGTCTTGATCTCCTGACCTCATTACCCGCCCACCTAGGGCTCCCAAAGTGCTGGAATTACAGGCGTGAGCCACCGCGCCTGGTCTCCATCAAATGACTTTTTAAATAAAATACGGTTCTCACCTTTTCCTTTTCCATTGACTATTCTGTTTCCTTTTTCATGAGAAGGTCCACGTAAAGGCTCTGACACTTTCTTGGGGACACACTGCTAAGGTAATATCAAGAATTAGTTTCCATTTAAAATTATAATGAGTTGCATCAAGAGTTTCTTATCAATCTCTTTTTATGAAACTGGGTCTCACTCTGTCAACCCAGGGCTAGAATGCAGGGGCCTGATTATGGCTCACTGTGGTCTCAAACTCCTGACCTCAAGCAATCTTCCCACCTCAACTTCCTGAATAGCTGGAACTACAGGTGCATACCATCATGTCATGCTAATGTTTTTATTGTTATCTTTGTAGAGACAAGGCCTCATTATACCTCCCAGGCTGGTCTCAAGCTCCTGGGCTCAAGCAAATCTTCCACTTCTGCCTCCCAAAATGTTGAGATAAGCAGTGTGCACCACCACACCCAGCCCTAATCAATTTCTTTAAATCAATCTCAATGTTGCCCAGGCATGGTGGCTCACACCTGTAATCTCAGCCCTTTGCAAGGCCAAGGTGGGTGGATTGCTTGAGTTCAGGAGTTGGAGACCAGCCTGGCCAACATAATGAGAACACATCTCTACACAAAAAATACCAAAAGGAGTCAGGCATGAAGGTGTGTGCCTGTAGTCCCAGCTGCTTGGGAAGCTGATGTGGGAGGATCACTTGAGCCTGAGAAGTGGATACAGCAGTGAGCCAAGATCATGCCACTACACTACAGCATGGACAACAGAGCAAGACCCTGCCTCCCCAAAAATTTCAATTTAAAAGAGAGATACAAACAAAAAACAAGCCTAATTAGTCAATGAAATATGAGCTTAAGCCAAGAAAGAAAACGAAAAACATGAAGTACAATAAAGTACATGGGGAAATAGATCTATAACAGAGCCTTCGGTCTTTCATAACTCTGATAATACTAATTAATATTTATGCTGCAATTAGTTTTTTGTAAGTACTTCTGTGATAGTGTTTCTTACTATAAGACATTCAATTAGCTAAATATGGTCATCTACCATTACCTGAAAGAACATTATTATAACAGAGAGAGAAAACTGGAACTTTCCATCAACTTTCCACCCAGAAAAAGAATTGGTCACCAGAATTCTAAAGAGTAATGTATGGCAGACACATGAAAAAATGCTCATCATCACTGGCCATCAGAGAAATGCAAATCGAAACCACTATGAGATATCATTTCACACCAGTTAGAATGGCAATCATTAAAAAGTCAGGAAACAACAGGTGCTGGAGAGGATGTGGAGAAATAGGAACACTTTTACACTGTTGGTGGGACTGTAAACTAGTTCAACCATTGTGGAAGACAGTGTGGAGATTCCTCAAGGATCAAGAATTAGAAATACTGTTTGATCCAGCCATCCCATTACTGGATATATATGCAAAGGATTATAAATCATGCTGCTATAAAGACACATGCACATGTATGTTTATTGCAGCACTATTCATAATAGCAAAGACTTGGAACCAACCCATATGCCCATCAATGATAGACTGGATTAAGAAAATGTGGCACTTACACACCATGGAATACTATGCAGCATAAAAAATGATGAGTTCATGTCCTTTGTAGGGACATGGATGAAGCTGGAAACCATCATTCTGAGCAAACTGTTCCAAGGACAGAAAACCAAACACCACATGTTCTCACTCATAGGTGGGAACTGAAAAATGAGAACACTTGGACACAGGATGGGGAACATCACACACCATGGCCTGTCATGGGGTGGGGGGAGAGGGGAGGAATAGCATTAAGAGATATACCTAGTATAAATGACGAGTTAATGGGTGCAGCACACCAACATGGCACATGTATACATATTTAACAAACCTGCACGTTGTGCACATGTACCCTAGAACTTAAAGTATAATAATAATAATAAAGAGTAATGTATGGCTTGAAATGGTGTATTTAATGGAACATGAGTTGGGTCTAATAAAAAGCTTAAGAAATATTAATCTAAAATCTCAATGTTAAGATTCCAGTTGAATGATACTAGAAAATATATTGTAACCCTCTTTGCTACCGATGACCTATTTCTATTTTATTTCCTTTTTAATTATGGCATAAATTCTCAACATAACATGTCAAAACTTATACACCGTTAAATATTAAAAAATAATACAATGTAAGCAATATTTTAAATACAATATTTAATGATTGGATACATTAGGTTTATTATATTACTTATAACATTCCATTATATAAAAATTCATTTGTTTATTTATTCAGATTAAACAACTATTAAGGCTGAATGTCTCATGTCTGTAACCCCAGCACTTTGAGAGGCTGAGGCGAGCAGAACATTTGAGCCCAACAATTAAAGAAGAGCCTGGGCAACAAGGCAAAACCCTATCTCTACAAAACTCAGCCCAGCATGGTGACACAGGTCTATGGTGACATAGCTCTATTGTTTCAACTACTTGGATGGCTGAGGTGTGAGGATCACCTGAGCCTAGGAAATGGAGATCGGAGTGAGCCAAGATCTCACCAGTGCCCTCCAGCCTGGGTGACAGAGTGAAACCCCATCTCAAAAAACAACAAGTAAAATGCTTCTTACATGGAAGACTGTATTCTAGGTACTCCAGGATACACACAAATATGTTTACTGACCTCCAGTAGCTTATGGTATGCAGGAGTTCCAATGATCATTTAAAAAACTAAATAGAAAACCTTCTGACATTCAAACTTTCAGAATATGATATAAGGACTTTGAGTGGTTATTTTATTTTATTTTATTTTTTAAGATGTAGTCTTGCTCTGTCACCCAGCCTACAGTGCAATGGTGCGATCTTGGCTCACTGCAATCTTTGCCTCCTGGGTTCAAGCGATTCTCCTGCCTTAGCCTCCTGAGCAACTGGGATTACAGGCATGCACTATCATGCTTGGATAATTTTTGTGCTTTTTTTTTTTTTTTTTAAGAGACAGGGTTTCACCATGTTGGCCAGGCTGATCTTGAACTCCTGACCTCAGGTGAGCTACCCACCTCGGCCTCCAAAAGTGCTGGGATTACAGGTGTGAGCCACCACGCCTGGCCAAGTAAATATTTTAAATAAACTACAATGACAAAATTATGATGATAAAGACTTACCATATTGGTATTAAGAGTCTCTGCTTCTAGAACTGGTTATTTGCAGGAAAATACATGTTATTCAATTAGATGAAGTGTTTTATATAAACTCTTCATGGACAACTCATAAATCACATAAAAATCCCTTTGCAATACAAATCTTGAGAACATAAATTTAAATTTCTACATTTCCACAATTTATATTTTTAAATCAGATACAATGTTACCCAGGCTGTTCTCAAACTCCTGTGTTCAAGCAATCTTACTGTCTCAAACTCCCAAGTAGCAGGGACTACAGGTGTACACCACCAAACTCAGCTATTTTTCTACAACTTTTAATACTTTTTTAGTCTCACTACAGAACCAATAATATAAGTAGAGAAACAATCTCTCCTAAAAACTATATGACACCAAAATGATAAGTTTCCAAGAACAAAAGCTATATGCTATGTGCTGAACATTTCTGCCACTAAAAATTACCAGGAGGATTCCATGATTACTGCAAACAATTTGATCCACTGAAGGTTTATACAGGAATAAATATTAAGAAAGTCACACTCGTATGATTTAAAAGTCAAAGTATTAGTATTTATCCAAATAAACTTTAACCAAAGTTCATATTTCCTCTATTGGAGAAAGCATTTCCTAATGTGATTTTCCTGTGACTACTTATTTTCCAGTTCATTTATTTTTCAGCTCCCACCCTGTCACAGTACTTACCAATCTTTATTAGTTACCAAAGTTAAACACATTTTTTGAATCAACTAGCCATGTGTATGTTTTTCTCTGACCAGCTTTCCATTACCACCATAAAACAATGATAGGTAAACCACTGCTAAATTTGAAAAGTAAATACTATGCAAAACTACACCCAGAGTGAGAAGATTAATTTTACAAGAGACCACTTTACCTTAGTAGCAACACTCAAGTCTTCATCATCCAATGTAGGCAATGAATCCACACACAGTTCATGCAAAATGCTTGAGAGCAAAAATACACAATGAAAATGAGCAAGTTGATTTCTTTACAATTTTTTTAACTGCCAGTTTATATCCAGCTTCCCCCTCAAAAAAAGGAAAACATAATCTGGGGAAAAGTCAGTGATCTATATATTAAATTACGATTCTTGATATAATTAAAATATGTCCTCTGTTCTAAAAAGAGATTTTAGTTACCTATTTCTGCCTCCACCTGTCTAAATCTATAAAATATTCAATGAAAACTAACCTTGAGGTTTATAACAAATAGTGACAGTCAATATATTGGCAGAGCCTGACAATAATGTGCCCTCACAAATTATCTGTCCTGAAGCTGAACTTAAAATTCAATTAATGGATGACATAAATTTTGTTCCCTAAACTGGAATAAAACTGATGACCTAAAACAAGGTAGAAAGATCCACTGTCTCTTTTCCATGATCTGTCTCTGGATAAAAGACTAATCTACATCACTTCAAAATGGTAGTCTTGATTCCTCAGCATGGATCCAACTTAGGAAGGTCCTATTGCTTTCCTTTACCCTAAATTGGTACAGGAAAACCAACACAATATTTGAAATGTATGAAAGCTAAATGTACAGAAGTCAAATAGCAAAGATGTATGTTCTTATTGAGAATACTTTTCCCAGAAAGATTAAAATATTCACAATTATAAAATCCTATTATTTTCACTCTATAGGTCCTACCTTATTCAGGTCCACATAAACTAGCAATCCCTTAAAAATTTTCATAGGCACTCAGACACCCAAGGAGAGAGACTGCCAGAAAAGAAACAGAGTCATGATAGTTGTACCTCTATTTCCCTAAGTACTATCTAAGTATATTTCTTCCTATGGACACCCACTTCCAGATTCTACTTCTGCAGGGTTCCACAGAAGTCTCCAATCTTTAAATCTTCAGTGTATGAAAGCACAGATTCCTGAAAGAATGGCCTCAAATGACCAGGAGTAGGAGCTCTCTATATCCCTGCTCCTGAAAAACAAGCTAACTGGAGTCTCCATCACCTGCCACCAGCTATACACACTACCAACTACCCAACTGAACTCCATGACTGATTTTCCAGCTAATCATGCCCCTGACCCAGCCCACATGGACATGGGAAGGACATCAGTGAACTGTGAAAAGAGGCAGAGGTGAGGAGACACCTGCCCTGTGCCACACATCTATGTAGTTCAGCAATTTCCATCCCCTTAGTACTCCAGGGGCTCTAAGCCACCCCTTTGTAAGTCAGGATGGAAGTAGATGACACCACATTTCTATCTGCTGTAGACATTCTTCCCAGTGTCTCAAAATGTTTTGGCATCTTTCAGTAAAAATCTTCAAGTTTGTCAGTCCTTGATTTAAAAAAAAAAAAAGCAGCAAAATTTTTAGAGCTCCCTTGAACCTTCTATTTTAATGTGCCTTTGTAGATAATTCCCAACATCTTGTGTCCTTCATTTTTATAATTTATCTTTATCAAACTTGTCATAAACCCCAATACTTTGATCTCTTGTAGAAGAGTCCGTACTCCTATCCAATCCAGTGTTGTTTATCTTCAAACTTGGACTTCCCCTGCTCATTCCATTCTTATCTACTTCCATTGGGTTCACCAGCTAATTCCATTCTCATTCTATCCACAGACTCACTTCCGTTTGTATTATTAAAACACACGCCAATAGGACATAGAAAGAAGCAAGAGTACTGGGCTTTACCATGAGTTCAAATCTCATTTCTGCCAATTCCTATGTCTAAAAAAAAGCTTCGTAATCTCTTTGAGCCTCACATTCTCTATCTAGAGAATCACTTGACCAGAATGTTCAACGCAGAGAAAAATACTAGAAGGTATTTTAATTCATTCCAAGATTCCTTAAAATTCTGTAATTCTATGTCCTCTTGATTCTGTCTATAGAAAAACTTGGAATACATAGGCAGCAGAGTTTGAAAAAATAATAGAACAAAAGAAACACCAAGAAAAACAGAGAAGAAAGTTTTAAAAAATGAGGACAAGATTATATAAAAGTCATGGAAAAAGCAACAAGACTAAAAAATGTATTATGGAAGTAAGCAGAAATACTTGCCTAAATGGAAAACCAAACTGTGAAGTCAAATAATTTGTCTCTAAGACTTGCCTAAACTTGCTTTGGTAAAACTTACAGTCCTATGGCCAAAGCTAAGTCAGATCTGCCCTAGAGCCTTTGAAGGTAAAAATAAGATACTGGTTACCACTGAAATCGTCAAATTTATTAGGACTAACCACATTCTAACAATAAACTTAAATGAGAGTTCAAGGTATTTAAACTCTCATTAATTTAGAAGTTAATCAAATTAATGAATCTGATTGATCTGATTCAGACCTATACTTTGATCCAAGGGCTGCACAGATATCTATCAATCTATGCTGAGGAGCAAGAGAAAGGATTTGGAAGGCAGGCAGGCTGATGGTCAAACTGTAGGCCAGCTACTTTGTTAACTATGGGATCATGAGGCAATTAATCAGCTCTAATCCATAGTTGTTTATTTAACAGTAGGTTATAGGAACACAGATGTTATGATGGCTTTATGAGATGATAAATGCATAGAACATATTAGGATGTCTAGCCCAGAATACAACACTCAACAGATATTAGTTTCTTCCATCTATATTTTCTTAGTTAACATAATTTTTTAAATCTATGAAATCTTACCTGACTGCAGATTCATCAGAAATTCCAACATCTATTAAAGAAAAAGGTAAAATGCATTTTAAATCAATAATAAATGTACAGAATATTAAAATCATAAGAATGCACAGTGATGCATGCCTCTAATCCAAACTACTTGGGAGGATGAGGCAGGAGGATCACTTGAGGAGCCCAGAAGTTTGAGACCAGCTTGGGAAACATAGTAAGACTCTACCTTCATAAAAAAATTGTGCACACTTGTGTGTATGCTTTAGATCCTGTTTTTTGTTGTTGTTGTTGTTTTGGTTTGGTTTGGTTTTTTAAAGCATAAGACTGACGTTTTGTTACAAAGCATTCCTTTGGGAGCATGCCTGGGAACTTATTAGAATTAACATTCATTATAAGTATTGGTAGGTAATTAATGCAGTAAGAACTCTTCCCTCTGTATTTATTAGATGCAAAGAAGAATAAATTTATTAAAATTTGGTATCTACAAGTGAACTGAAGTATACAAGTCATCCTAGCCAAAGCCTATGAGATTGAGTAAAAATGGTATTGTTAGCAGAACAGGTGTGATGAGTCAACAGTGTCAAAGAGCATGATTTCTGGACCAAAATATGAGGGGCCATTACAACAGAGTATACACTAGTACCCCTTATCCACTATATGCGCAGAAAGACATACTTGACACGTTTTTCTCTGCTGTCACACCACAGCAACAATCATCAACAAAGAAGGCTTCTGTAACCAAATGTGTGGAGAGTTTTTCCCCACCAACAAACAAGCAATCATTCCTGCTGATGACACAATTCAATTCTCACACCCTATCTACAGATAACATCAGATTTAATTTAATTTATAAATTAAACTTTGTCATAGATATGTATGTATAGGGAAAAACAGCTTGTGATTCAGTAATATTCATGGTTTCATGCATGCACTGGGGGTCTTGAAATGTATCTCCCACAGTTAAGGTGTAGTTACTGCACTTATTTTGTTATAACACCACACAGCCTCTCTAGCTCTTCAGATCAAACTGTTTAGTTTAGAATAAAACATGCTATCGCCAGAAACCAACAAAACATAGGAATCAGACCAGAAACAGGAATCCTTGCAAATACTTTCCAGCCACCAGTGGAGAAGATCTCAAGAGAGATCAGTGTGTTACTCTGGCTAATACTCTTCTGGGTAAGGTGCTGGGTGGTTTCCTTAGTTGTAGCTATTTGCTCTGGCCTACGTATAACAAGCCCCAAATTCACCTGCCATTTTACCTCCCACAGAAAGAACCACTGGAAAGATCACTCCTTTAAGAGCTTATCCACATTCAGAGAGAAGCTGAATAAACACTGGGGAGGTATGGCAGGCTGCCGGGCAATATTATCTGATGTGAAAAAATATATAGAAAGGAAACTATCAATGCCCTTTTACTACCAGAATGTTCTAATGTTTGCCCATCTCCCTAGTAGGAGAAAAAATTTTTTTCACCTCGCATAAAGCAAAACTCCCTTGTCATCTCTCATGACAGAATCTAGTTGTAGGTGAGTCATGCCATCATAATACAGGCTGTTGTCAACCTCATCCCTCAAAGGAAGAGGATCAGTGAGGAACTTATGTATTTACCTAATAGCATTCATGCCTGGTCTTATTTCCAACCGAATGTAAGTATGAAAGACTTTGTGATTCCAGTTTTATAAAGCACAACACTTTGCACTTGTCCTCTTCCATTGCTAAAGAGTCTATCTGGACCCACCTCACAGAGCAAGATGCTCCAGGTTGTGCTGTGTAGTACGGCGTGGTGTCCTTTTCCTCAACCCTTTCTATTATGTGCCACATATCTATACAAATCATGTTTTCTAAGTATGTAAATCATATCTCATCAGAATACATCATTCTTTACAATGATAAAGAAGCAAAAGAAAAACAAAAGGACAAAGAACATCTTAAATGACTACATTCAACTGCCATGGAGCTTTAATTTTTTAACTACTCAAAAAGATATCCACTCTTCTTATTCCAACTATATGACTCTTCTGAAAAAAGTAAAACTATGAAGACAGAGTAAACATCAATGGTTGTCACGAGTTGCTAGGGAGAAAGGGAGAGATGAACAGGCATAGCACAGAGAATTTTTAGGGCAGTGAAACTGTTCTGTCGATAATATTACAGTAATAGATACATGTCATGTCATTATATATTTGTCCAAATTCACAGAATGTACAGCATCAAGAGTGAGGCCTGATGTAAACTATGAACTTCAAGTGATTATAATGTGTCAATGTAAGTTCATCAGTTGTAACAAATGGACCACTCTCTGGTGGAAAATACTAATAATGGGGGAGGCTATGCGTGTGTGGGAGGCATGGGATATATGAGAAATCTCTGTACCTTCCTCTCAATTTTGCTGTGAACCTAAAACTACTCTAAGAAATAAGGTTATTGATTTAAAAAAAATATTCAGCTGGGCTCAGTGGCTCATGCCTGTAATCTCAGCACTTTGGGAGGCAAAGGTGGGTGGATCACCTGAGGTCAGGAGTTCAAGACCAGCCTGGCCAACATGGCAAAACCTCATCTCTAATAAAAATACAAAAATTAGCTGGGCATGGTAGCTGGCACCTGTAATTTCAGCTACCCGGGAGGCTGAGGCAGGAGAATCGCTTGAGCCTAGAAAGCAGAGGTTGCAGTTAACCAAGATAGCACCACTGCACTGCAGCCTGGGAGACAGAGTGAGATTCTGTCTCAAAAAACAAAAAAGATATTCACTGTCTATGCATCCCAGGATTTCCAGAACAACAATTAAAATAAATAAATAAAAAAGATGGCTGGGGGCAGTGGCTCAAGTCTGTAATCCCAGCACTTTGAGAGGCTGAGGTGGGTGGATCACCTGAGGTCAGGAGTTCGAGACCAGTCTGACTAACATGGTAAAACCTCATCTCTACTGAATATAAAAAATTAGCCGGGCATGATGGTGCATGCCTGTAGTTCCAGGTACCTGGGAGGCTGAGGCAGGAGAATCATTTGAACCTGGGAGGTGGAGGTTGCAATGATCCAAGATTGTGTCATTGCACTGCAGCCTGGTCAACAAGAGCAAAACTCTGTCTCAAAAAAAAATAAGTAAATAAAATTAAAAATAAAGATATTCACTGAACCTGTTACTATGATATATTTAAGCAAGACATGGCGACCCTAAAAATTAGAGATCATTGAAGACCAAAGTAACAACATGTGGTCATTATTTCTCAAATTGAAGTATATAAAATAAATAAATTTAATTGCATGCTTAGGTAAGAAAATATTGATAAAAATGATTGAATATTTTATCTTATTTCATAATTCTAAGCAGGGCTTTAGCACAATATGAAAACTAGATTATTCATGTAATCCAAATAAAAGACAATTTTTATTCTAATTTTAACTCAGAAATTATTTTGCTTATTTAACAATTTTACTGAAAGGTAAATGAGATAAATAGGACAGATTATAATTACCTAAATTGCTATGGTAACTTATGTACAAATAGCTGTTCGTCACTGAAAGTCAAAAAAGTAACCAGCGCTGCAACTTAAGATGGATCATACAACAGAAATTAGTACCAAGTTACCTTATCTTATAATATTATGTTATTAAAATGAAATTTTAAAACAACACCAAAAATTAAGTTGGGGTTATACAAAGTGTGCAGAAAAGATTTCATATAACAGGCAAGAGACTGCCATCCTTAGAAAGGCCTGCATGCAAGGCTGGCCCTTGGCTGGTGTTTAGGAAATTGGAATTGGGAGGGTTTCCACCATTCCGTGAGAAGAGTGGCTCACTGTGTCTAAAGTTTTTATAGAAACCGCCAATGGGTGAAATCCAAAGCAGCAGCTGGTGTATCCATTAACATTCTCAAAACAGGATGCATCTGGACCCCTGTGTGCAATCTTCATAGCACACAGACACTAAACAGAAAGGCAGTCATTGCTGCCAAACAGGACCCAAATGTCACACACAGTGCAATGAAGCTATAAGCTCCCTATGGAGAGAAAAGTAGACAAATCAAAAATATTCAATATCCAATCCAAGTCCACATTAAATCTTGATTCCAGAAACGTGCATTAACCACTTCAAAGACTAAAATTTAAGCCATCTTTTCTATAGCGATTTCCCATTTGGTTGGCAGGCATACAGGAGTAGAGAATGATTTAATTTACTTACAAGTATTCAGAAAAGATAGTGACCTCTACATTCAACCAGCTACAGCAGCTTAGCACCCAGCCAAAGCCTGCATCTCTCCCACCTTAAGATTTAGTGGTTGGCTAGAGTTAGCAGCATCCAGGCCACATCTATCTCTGCATTCTAAGTTTGCTTCCAAGATAAAGATACAAATGCAGGCTGGCTCCAACCTAGCCAGAGATCCCAGCCCCACTCTCTGCATCCCAAAATCCCTCAAAGACCCAAGAGACTTTCCAGATTTCTACAGTCTCCTAACAGGTCCCCTTGACAGTTAAATGCCCTCTCTTTACCTCAACTAGCTGCAGGTAGAATATAATGGGTACAGCAGAAAGTCACTGTAAGTGTAATATGAAGATACACAGCCCTTTTAAGCATTTCATTATATTACATCTAGCTTACTTCTAAGTGATTTATTCAGATGTGACTGAAGAAAGTCTAAAGGGAAAAAAAACAATTTAATTTGATAAATTAAATTATCAATTATAGCCAAATTATTTGGGTATAACAAATTAAACATTTTAAGCAGACAGAAGATGCAAACATTTTAAGTTTACAGAAGATATAAAATGTTCACTATCAAAATGTCGCAACTGATAAAAATGTTCTCAAATATTTCTGTCTCAAACTTGCATTGTTCATTAAGGAAGCAAAATAGGTGGGACATACACAGCAACAACATCCCTCAAAAAACACCTTGGCTCATTCCTATAAGCCAGGCAGCAAATACATCATCCTTACATATGTTAATTACCTTCCAATTTCAAATTCTCAACTGTGAAATAAAGGACCATTTTATTTGGCTGCTTCCAGTTCAATATGACTGTTTTTATTAAAACATCTCTAACTTGAAAAATATTTGGTGTTTTCTAAAAAACTGCAAATTGCCACAAATGGCCAGATAATTTGGAATAAACACCCTACAGAAAAAAATATATATTCAAGTTGCATAAGTCACTTTGAGCAATCCTTTGAGGATATTTCATTTATATCTAAATGAACCACAGGTTTAGCTGGCTTTTCTGGAAAACCAGAAGCAAATAATGTATGATTATAATGAAAACCATCTCAAGCAATTTTGAAATGAAGTACCACATGTCTTATGCTGTCCCTTCCATGCACTTGACAAAACAGCCTATAACAAATTGTTTACTTTGAGATTTAGCAGGAAAATTCCATGAGGTTTAAATGAGATGACTAATAATAAGCCATCTACCTTTGACTCTATTCCAATTAAAAATGGGTTAGGAAAGTGCTTTGAAAATCAAGTGTGTTCATCAGGGAATCATTTACCTAAGTCTTCTTAACACTGCTTAGTGAATATTAAGCCTGATATAGTAAATACACGCTAACCACTAAATTGAAGGGGAAAGAGGGAGAACAAAGAGACATGTAAAGTACACTTACTTTTTCTAGTAGGAAAAAGCCAATTAAAACTATCACCTATTAGTTTTATTGGAATCAGTCTTACAGGAGGTCAAACTTCCTACTGTTGCTACCTATTCTCAATATTTTTCTTATTTCTTCCTAAACTTCTAGAGCCGTGCTGTCCAATAAATATGTGAGCCACATATGTAATTTTAAATGTACTAGTAAGCCCCATTAAAAGGTGAAATTAATTTTAAATATACTTAACTCAGTATGTCCCAAATAGTAATCATAGTAATAATTTTAACATGTAATCAATATAAAAAATTATCAAGCAGATATTCTACGCTGTTCTTCCCACTCCAATGACAAAATCCAGTATATTTAACACAACACATCTCAATTAGGACTAGCCAGGATTTCAAGTGCTCAATAGTTACAGGTGGCTAGCGCCTACTGAATTGGACACTGCAGTTTCAGTGCATTGAATTTCTATCCCACTTAGCGCTAATTAAAACTTCACCCTCTCACCTGATAATTATGCTAAGATCTCAGAAAGTAACCCACTACAGGCAGTTTCAAGCCCTAATTTACCTCTAATTACTCTTACAGCAATGCGATGAATCATGATTTAAAATTTTAAAAAAAAATTGCTGTTAAATTATTAGTCAAGCGCCCAGGGCAATGGACAGTAAAGAAATAATGTAGGCCATGGGCCGAGATGACAAAACGGTCCTTTTATTTAAAGCTATAACAATAATCTGAAGCCAGCCCTGTAAAATAGACATCCATTGAAAAAGTCATGCTAGTTCTTTTGCTTTTTTGTGTACTTGGCCTCCTGTGTCCCTAAACAGACCTCTTCTCAGCAGGGTTTGCTCAGCAAGTCACTTGTTGAGTCTTGCGGTCAGCAGAGGGGGTAGGGAATGGCAGGGACTGGCATAGGAGTGAGGGGGAGGAGGCAAGGTGAGGGGGGCCAGGTGAGGAGGGGGGCACTTCAAGGGGAGTTCAAGACCAGCCTGGGCAACATGGTGAGACCACCGCCCCTCACCGCCGCCATCTCTGGTCTCACACACATGCACAAATTAAATTTAATTTAAAAATTAAAAAATTGTTTTAAAATAAGTGGAATATTTACATGGATTATGTATACATTCATTTTGTAGAACTATAGATCCCATGTAACTGGGAACTCTTTACTCTTCTAACACAACATTTATTTAGCCACAAATGAAAGACCAGTGATGTAGCCTGTACACAAAAAAGTAAGAAAACACTGGTTAGGCTGGGGCAGGGGTGGGGGGAAGAGATCTACAAATTTAAAATTTTATTGGGAAGGATCACTAATTAGAATCAGAACAATTACTGCTTTAAAGTAGTTAAGAACAGAGCACAAGGAACCCAGAGAAGAAGCAGATATGATTCAGAGCAGAGCTTACAGAGCAGATGGTATCTGAGCCGAGACTGATAGAATAACATTAATAAGGGCATTCACGGCCATTTATTATCACTTAACTGCAATGCATTTTGTATAAGTTATTTCTACTCTTCATATCAACCATGGAAAATAATACTTATTCTTCTCTTTTGAAGTTAAAGAAGTGGTAAGTGGTCTAAGAAGATAAATTAACATACCAACACCAAATAGCTCAAGTTCAGTGACTCAAGAGGGCCCGTGTCTCCCCAAGAGGTTGCTCAGCAGGCAGACGAGGTAGAGAGCCCTTCCAAGAAGTGACAGTGAGATGTGAAAGGTCCCAGTGTGTCTCTGAGAACAACAGAAACCAGTATGTAGACCAAGTGGGAAAAGCCACGGAAGAGGCAGGGATTTCCTCTTAAGATAGCAAGAATAAACAGAGCAGGGCTGAGGAAAGCCATGGAAAACGGGCAGAATGCCATGCATTTAGTGAGAAAAAGACAACTTTTACTTTAGAAAGGGGGAAAGAATGGTGGTGGTCTAGGTAAGCCTAGAAGCAGAGGAAAGGACAATGGAGAAAAAATAAACAAAATGTATGAGTCAGGGTTCTCCAGAGGGACAGAACCAACAAGATACAGGTATATGTATAAGGGAGTTTACGAGAGAGAATTGGTTCACACGGTTAGAAGGCAGTCCCACAATAGGCTGTCTGCCAGGTAGGGAAAGAGAGAAGCTAGTAGTGGCTCAGTCCAAGTCCAAAAGCCTCAAAACCAGGAAAGCCCGCAGTGCAGTCTTCAGTATGAGGCCGAGGGCCTGAGAGCCTCGGGGAAGCCGCTGGTGCAAGTCCCAGAGTCCAAAGGCATAAGAACCTGGAGTCTCATGTCCGAGGGCAGGAAGAAGGGAAGCAAGTGTCCTGCACGGGAAGAAGAAAAAAAGAGAGCCAGAAGCTTCAGCTAGCAAGGTTATCCCATCTTCCTCCGCCTGCTTTATTCTATACAGTGCAGCGTATGTACACCATTTCTGTGATATTGTTCCTAATATCCATGGGAAGAAAGAGTGATGTTACTCCCAAGAGCATATGGGGGTGTACATCCCTTGTGATATTATTCCTAGTATGCAGGGGCAGGGAAATGACATTACTCCCAATATTGCAGAGGGTGTACTCCCCGCCCTGTGATATTGTTCCTAATATTTAGGGGATAGTGGGTGATATTACTCCCAATATCAGAGGGGGTGTGCACCCCCCGTGGTATTCTTCCTAATATCCAGGGTGGGGGGAGAGGTTTATATTACTGTCAATGTCACAGGGGGTGTACATCCTCCCATGGTATTGTTCCTAATATCTGGGGGGTAGAGGATATTACTGTCACTATCACAGGGGGTGTAGACCCCTTCAGTGATATTGTTACTAATATCTGGCGGGGAGAGGATGATATTACTGTCAATATCGCAGGGGGTGTACACCCCCCGTGGTATTGTTCCTAATATCCGGGGGGGAAGAGGAAATTACTGTCAATATCACAGTGGGTGTACACCTCTTCTGTGATATTGTTCCTAATATCCGGGGAGGAGAGGATATTACTGTCAATATCGCAGGGAGTGTACAACCCTTCTGTGACATTGCTCCTAATATCCGGGGGTGGGAGAGGATATTACTGTCAATATCGCAGGGGGTGTACACCCCTTCTGTGATATTGTTCCCAATATTCAGGTGGGGAGAGGATCATATCACTTTCAATATCACCAAGTGTGTACATCACCATTGTGATATTGTTCCTATATTTAGGGGATAGTGGATTACATTACTGTCAATATCACAGGGGGTGTGCACCCCCCCATGGTATTGTTCCTAATGTCCAGCAAGGGAGAAAACACTACTACTTCCAATATGGCAGGGGGTGTACACGTCCTATGGGATACTGTTCCTATATCCATGGGGGAAAAGGATATTGGGAACAATATTACAAACAATATCACAGGGGGTGTACATGTCCTGAGATATGAGGAGTAATATAACCCTCTCCCCCTCTAGATATTACAAACTGTATCACAGAGGGGTGTAAACCCCTGCAATGTGGAAAGTAAAATCATCTTCTCCCCCACTGGATATTACAAATAATATCACAGACGGTGTACATGTGAGGTGTTTACGATATTGGGAGTAATATCATATCCCCCAGTGGATATTATGAACAATATCACAGAGGGGTGTATACACACTCTGCCTTATAGGGAGTAATATACTCCTCTCCCACCCTGGATATTACAAACAATATCACAGAGGGTGTACACACAGGGTGTTTATGGTATTGGAAGTAGTATTATCTCCCCCATGGATATTACTAATAATATCACAGGGGTGTGTACATCCCCTGTGATACAGGGAGTAATATCATCCTTTCCCAGCCTGGATATTACAAACAATATGGCAGGGGGCAGTACACCCTGGCGATATGGGTAGTAACATCATCTCCTCCCCGCGTGGATATTATGAACAATATTCTAGGGGGTTGTACACCCCCTGCAATATGGGGAGTAGCATCATCCTCTCCCCCACTAGATATTATAAACAATATCACAAGGGGGTGTACACTTCCTGCGATAAAAGGAGAAATATAATTCTTTCCCCCAGAGATATTATGAACAATATCGCAGGGAATTGTTCTCCCATGCTATATGGGGAGTAACATCTTCATCTTCCCCCTGGATATTACGAAAAATAATGCAGGGGAATGTAAATCCCCTGCGATATGGGGAGTAAAATCATTCTCTCTGGCCAGGAGCGGTGGCTCACACCTGTAATCCCAGCACTTTGGGAAGCCGAGGCGGGCGGATCACGAGGTCAGGAGATCGAGACCATCCTGGCTAACATGGTGAAACCCCGTCTCTACTAAAAATACAAAAAATTAGCCGGGCGTGGTGGCGGGCGCCTGTAGTCCCAGCTACTAGGGAGGCTGAGGCAGGAGAATGGTGTGAACCTGGGAGGCGGTGCTTGCAGTGTGCCAAGATCAGGCCACTGCACTCCAACCCGGGCGACAGAGCAAGGCTCTGTCTCAAAAAAAAAAATCAAATCATTCTCTCCCTCCCTGGATATTATGGACAATATCACAGGGGAGTGTACAATGAGTTTCTAGAATGTATTTGAGGAGGGTGACGGGCGGTGTGTGCATGCTTCATGGCCTTATTCAATTAAACACTCTGCTCTCAATTTATTGCTAAATCCTCCTTGAGCCCTTAGATTTCATAACGGTTGTCGCGACATTTTTCTGGATGTAGAAAACGTTCCTATTTCTTGCCACCTCATGGGCTACACCTTGAACTAAAGTTTTTATGTAGATACTTGTGCTTACTCTGCGGCCTTTCCAGGGTTTGCTGAAGATGGAGGTATTTAGGCTGGGCAAGAGGTGGTGAGGTAAATTGGGGTTTATCGATTATAGAACAGCCTCCTTTAGAGGGATATAAAGCACCGCCAAGTCCTTTGAGTTTTAAGCTGTTGCTTGTAGTGTTCTGGCGAACAGTTTTGTTGATCTAACTATTCGAGTTTAGAGTTAAGCATAGCGGGGTATCTACTCCCAGTTTGGATCTTAGCTATTTTGTCTTCAGAATATTAAAGGCACCTTCGTAGTTATTTCAGCTGGGGTTTTTTTACAACTTTTTTACAACTTATTTAGAAACTTTCAGGTTTCTAAATATATGAATGAACCATAATATAAGCCTCGGCCAATACAATGCTGGTTAGGCCTCCTACTGTAAAAAGGAAAATAAATCCCCGGGCTCACAGCATTGCGGGGGATCATTTGATATTACCGCCGTGAAGTGTAGCTAGCTAGTCAGCTAAAAACTTTGACGCTAGTAGGAATAGCAATAATTATAATAGCAGAGGTGAAGCAGGCTCATGTATCCACATCTATCCCTACCGTAAATATACGGTGGGCCCATACAATAAATCGTAAGGACCCAACTGATCCTATAGCTCACACTAGGCCCATATACCTGAATGGTTCTTTTTTCTTCCAGAATAGTATGTTACGACGCGGGAAATTATCCCAAAGCCCAGTGGGATGAGGATGTAGACTTCAGGGTGACCAAAGAATCTGAATAAATGCTGAAATAAGATAGGATCACCTCCGCCAGCCAGATAGAAAAAAAGTAGTATTAAGATTGCAGTCAGTTAACAATATAGTGATGCCGGCGGCTAGGACTCGGAGACAAAGGAGTAGAAGAACTGCTGTAATTAGGACTAATCAGATGAAGAGGGGTGTGTGATATTGGGACATGGCTGGGGGTTTTATATTAACAATTGTGGTAATAAAGTTAATAGCCCCTGAAGTAGAAGAAACACCTGTCAAGTGGAGTGAAAAGATAGTGAAATCTACAGAGGCGCCTGCATGTGTTAGGTTTACTGCTAAGGGAGGAGAGACTGTTCAGCCGGTTCCAGTGCCGGCTTCTACTATAGTGGATGCAAGTAATAAAAGGAAGGAGGGTGGGAGGAGTCAGAAGCTCATATTATTTATGCAGAGAAATGCTATATCGGGGGCGCCAATTATCGGGGGACTAATCAGTTGCCAAGACCTCCAATTATAGTATTACCATAAAGAAAATTATGACAAATGCATAGGCTATAACAATGACATAAATTTGATCATCTAGTAGAGTTCAGCTCGAATAAGGCTTAAAGCTGTACTGACTATCCCTGCTCATGAGCCAAATAATAAATATAATGTCTCGATATCTTTATGGTTGGTTGAGAATAGTCAACTGTCAGCCAACATAAATGAAGTGAGAAAAAAGGGTAAAATGACTGAGTAGGGCATTAGACTGTACATCTAAAAACAGAGGTCAACGCCTGTTTTTACCAGTCCCAAGGTGATTTTCATGTTGAATTGTAAATTCAAAGAAGCAGCTTCAATCCTGCTTCTCTCACCTTTTTTCCCCCAGCTGCTGGAGAAGTAGATTCAAACCAGTTGACTAGGGAGTTTAGCTGTTAAGTTTTCATGGGTTTAAGTCTCATCAATTTAGTAAGGACTTAGCTTACTTAAAGTGATTGATCTGTATTCAATTGACCAAGGGTGTTCTGTATCTGAGAAAGTACATTTCAGGGTCACCATACAACAACTGTTCAAAAAGGCCTCCAATATGGGACAGTCCTATTTATTATCTCAGAAATATTCCTCTTCGCTGGATTCTTTTGAGCATTCTACCATTCTAGCCTAGCCCCTACTCCAGAATTAGGAGGGCATTGACCCCCAACAGGTATTTCTCCCCTTGACCCCCTGGAAGTACCTCTCCTGAATCCATCTGTATTACTTGCATCAGGAATTTCAATTACTTGAGCCCATCACAGCCTAACAAAAAATAATCAAAAACATACAATCCAAGCACTACTTGTTACAATTATATTAGATATTTACTTCACCTTCCTACAAGTCTCAGAATACTTCAAAGCTCCCTTTGTTATTTCTGATGGTATTTATGGCTCAACATTTTTTTATAGCTACAGGCTTTCACAGAATTC